>NC_000010.11:79688549-79840064 GCF_000001405.40 Homo sapiens | reverse complement strand
ACATGTGGCTTTGATACAGGATTTGAATGAGTCTTTTTCTGAGCCAGTGATACAAAAAATATATTGTGGAAGTGTCTTGTCTTAATTCTGCAATCGCTTCTGTACATGTTTGAAGTCCTAGACCCCAGGAGGAGAGACAGTCAAATTAGCCAAAGGTAATTTGTGAAGACTGGCCATGGGAGGTGGTGGCTAAAAGTCCTCCGGCCCCTGCTGTCTGAGCATCCCCACAGAAAGTCCTGGGCCGCACTGACAGCTGAGAAAGAACATCTCAGGGCTTGGATCCCCTGTTCAGAGGACACATGCTCCTCCACCCAGTAGAGGAATGGCGGCTCCATGCTGTGTCCTGCAGAGCTCTCAGACTCTGCACTTGAGGCCCTGGGCCTGCATCAATGTGAAGGCTCTTCAGTGTTATCACGTGGAGACAGATGATAGGAATCCTGCAAATGAGCAGAAAGGATGTGACGATTAAAGTTTCTTCTGAAGGTATTACAAACTGAAGTCAGTGAGTTGCTTCTCTACTAGTTTTTTATTGCCAACTGGAATTCTGCACTGTGTTGCAGAGTCAGGGGTGGGGAGCGTGGAATTGTTCCCTTAGTATCTGCTGCTTTATCGACTGAAATTGATCAAGGTTACAACAAAAACATTTCTAGAAATCATTTGAATGCGGTAGGAAAAACTCTGGGAATGGAGTCAGAAGAAAGTATATTTTGGAGTGTGTTTTCAGGTCTAAAAATCTTTGCCAGAAATACTCTTTAATGGAACCTCCAGACTGAGTAGGAAAACAGGGCATACTATTTTTTGAAAGGCATGAGCAGGAATGAAATCAATGCCATCCAAAGGGAATGCAAGACATGCAATTTGAGGATACTTTGCTTTAGGATAAACCCTCCAAAGGTAAACCTTTCAGCAAGGGTGTTACCTAGGTGCATGGACTGCAGGTTTGTATTACCGAAAATTAGGAGTGATCGTTGCGGACGCGCTGGTTTCTCAGAGGCACGGTCATGGAGGTTCCAATGAGGGGGCGTTGTCTGGCCCCAGGAAGCACCCAGGTGCCGCGTCCCTCCATTTCCACATCTCCAGCGGGGCCCTCCTAGGGCGGGCTCCTGGCCTGCCCTGTGCGCCGCCGCAGGAGCCTTGAGGCGGGCGAGGTTCCAGCGCGAGGCCGGCCGCCCTCAACCGCTCCCAGCGCCAGTTGCGGCGGTTGATGGCAGGGAGACGCGCAGCGCGAGAGCAAAGGGCGGTGACCCAACGGCCTTCGCTCTCATGGCGTCCTTCTTGGTGTTACCTAAAAATAAAGCCAAGGGTGATCAGAAGGTAATCACCTCCTGGTCATGCTCCCACTGGTCACCAGTGTCCGCGGGGCGACCCCACATTGTGACCAGAGCAGGCCTGTGGCTGTGCTCAAGGCGGAAGCGTTCATAGCTTTCCTAGTGGGGGCCCTGCGGGATGCCCAGGCCGCGCTCCTTTCCCTTGCTCACCTGGCCCTGAAGTGAGGGGGGAGGTGTAACAATGCAGTGGGAACCTCAAAGTGTGTCTCGGCCGTGCCTTTCACATTCCAAACAATGCAAAAGCTTGAAGAAAACCTCAGCAGTTGAAACCGTGATGCAGTTCAGCAAAGAAGTAGCTCCTGTCCTCGTAAAACAGTGAAGTTCTCACGGACGACCTCATTGAGTAAGTTGTGAAGCTTGTTGACTTGATCAGAATGATCAGCCAGCATGCATGTTCTAATACACTGATTTGTCACTGATAGGAGCAGCTGCAAAGTGGAAGAATAGGCCTTTAGTCATAGTTTGTTCACTTGGTAGCACAAGTTGGTTGTGGATGCAAGAGTGTGGCCAAAGTCAAGAAAAGCTTCCATGAGAATCGCTTACTTATGTGGGATTTACAAATAAAGACATAATAAAAAATGCAGTAAAGCCATAGGTTTTATGGCTGGCTTTGGAGAAAAGGGGTTCTAGGGTTTCTGTCTACTATGACCCACTGTTGTGGAAGAGAGATTCTAGTTTCCATGGCCAGCCTTATGGGAGAATAGAACTGAGAGACAAGAGGACTGGAGAAGGTCAGAGAAAAATGTTTGTTTCTGAGGCTGCAGCTGAGGCTTTCATTTGGGGGTTTTGTTTTCTGATCCCCAGAACTATCCTACACTGTAATTGCCTATTTAGTTGTCTGAGTTCCCTAGTTAGACGCTGTGCTCCTTGAAGGCTGTGAGTAGTTTTTAAATACTATTTTACTCAATTGCAATTGCTTAATATCTGGCACACAGCAGGCCCTCTACAAATATCTATGCATGAAAGAATATAATTTTCATCACTCATTCCATTCTGAAATGCACACACACACATACACACACTGATGAATCAATCAATGGATAAACAGGTAGATAACAGCTAATAGAAAATAATGACTGCAGGTTGTATAACACAATCAAAGTGTTTGTTGTTGTTTATTTTCTTTGAAATTAACTGGCATGCTGGATCTCATTGACACTAGCATCAAAATACCTGATATTATTAGCCGTGACATGTGTTAACTAGTGGTTTCTATGACTGCTTCCCCTCACTACTCCCCACCTCAGTGATCCTTAGTGATCCATTTGCTCATCAAATCAAAACTAATTTCCCCAAAGCAAGGCTATTATGAATTTGAAAAAGTTGATTATTTCCCAGCAGATAACTTGAAATGTCATGGAGCCTATTTAAAGACAGCTTTATATCACAAACCTTATGTTCAAGCCTTAATATACAACCAAATGGACCAAATCAGGCAAACAGAATCAGGCTTCCAAATATAATCATAATTCTACATTAGCTCTCAAAATAAGATTGCAGTTCACATAGTCTACAAAGTATGTTTTGACATTAAATGTAACATACTGAGGATTATTTTTCTGATTTATACTTGCTTTGGTTTCTACCTTTGGGTAGGTGGCTCTGACTATGAAAAAGTCACTGTGAGCCTGCCAGGCTACATCTCCCTCGCAGCAGTGAAGTCATGCCCTATCCTCCTCCACATTGCCTTTTCCTTCAGATTCTTATTTACAGATGAATGTTTCACAATTTTTTTTTCTCTTCCTTCTAAAACTAAGCAGAAATATTTCCTCTAGTGTTATTCATTGTGAGGAGAGGCATTTTTTCTTGCAGGTGGGAGAGTATAGATAAGGGTAATAAAGTTCCCATAGTTTTTGTTTTTGTTTTTGTTTTTCTGGGCATGAACTAATAGTATTTATTTTCTTTTAAATCACAAAGTATGATTGCTATAGCACTTCTCAGTTCTATTTTCTTTTTTAAAAAACAGCTATAAATTAATTGTACAGGCAGTTTCAAGTACTCAAAACGTAATAGATTAATCTTGACATCTGTGGCTTGTGGATTCAAGTCCCTACATTCTCTAGCTTGTAGTGTTTATGAGGTAGTGGATGTGAAGAGTTCATAAGTCAAATTCACATGTAATTTGTACTGGTTTCATCATTCATCATAAAATATGCTACTGAACAATAGTGAGTACGCTGTCGATATGTAAATACACAAATACAAGTGCACACAACATATAACAAAGCAGTTTTTATGATGTACCTTTTGCATTACAATACTCTTATGTAGCTATAAAACTACTACAAGAGATAAAGTAAATTTAAAAGCTATTTTCTTCAGTTGCATGTACATAGATGTATCCTAGAGAAATGCTATTGTCCCTCAGAAATAGTATTTGTAAATGAATTTTTTTTTAGACAAACCCAAAGTACTATACTATGGAATAAGTTTGTCTTATTTTGTTTTTAATCAGTGAATATAGATGACTAGTTCATTCACTTAGTCTTTCAAAAGAGTATTAATATCAAAATTACCATATGGTCTGATTTTTTTTAAAGCCCAGTTTCTACAAAACAATAAATGGTGAGGTTCTGACAATTATGAGGGAAACTTAGTACCAAATACATATGCTATTTCTCCACTTGCGCAAGAGAGCTAATTTGTAGAAAACAGAAGTCTAAAAGTTGGTAAATCAAATGTGTTTCATAATCACATCTGTGAGAGAAGAATCCTCTTATGACTTCTGGAAATATCAAAATTTGAAATGACTAAATAACTGACTTGCCAAGGAATTTGTATTCTCTTGTACTTTTACACACTAGGGGAGAAAATAGTAAAAACTAGCATAATCGTGTGGCAAAATATCCATGAAATAATATTTTGAACGTTAAAATATGGATTTAAAATAAGACAAATGGATGTGTTTTTTAGATGTGTATGCCTAAAAGATGGATACTGTGGATATCTGATGGCTTTCTTGATTAAGCCACAACCAGTGGACCTCACAAATGTCAAATATGTTATTCCAAAATGTCAGTTGTTTAGACTCATTTCTCAGCTTGTTATTGATGAGTTTCCTTTCACATTTGGAGGCATCCTGTTGGGGAAACTGAAGAACAGATGTTAAGTGTGAAGTGTCTCCCTCCTTAGTTCATATTCATATCACATTGTTTGAGCTGCCACATGTAAACAATATAGACACTAAGCCAACTGGTCCTCTGCCTACTGCTGACGTGGCAGAAAATATCTAGGAGGTAGTCAGAGGGGCATATGTATACCTGTTAAGTGGTCTGGTTCTCCAATAGTCATGCAAATATTGCTAAATTTGTTTCACTCCTGGGAATTCAAGCTTCTATTTCAGATTCCTAATCCACGGCAATTAATTATCTTCTTTGAATACCCAAAGCAATTTATGTTGCTTAACATATAATAAAGTTAAGTCCATTATTATTCCCTGTTTTATAATTGAGGAGACTAGAGTCCGGATTATTTAAGCAACCAAAATCACCAATCAATCAGTCATGACAGAGCCCATGATTAAAATTCTGTCTGTCCCCAGATTTGTGCTCTTCAGGTAATGACATTTCTGCACAGTTATTAATCTGAGTAAATAGAGTCCATAGTGAATTATTAGCTGATTCCAGGAGATTCCATGCAAATAAAAGTCTTTCTGTCATTTCAGGCTCTGCCAGTCTACATTAATACAAATCACAGCAACAAGGCAGTTTATTTAAAAATATTAAAAGTAATAGAAGATTGAATGGAAGGATGAATGGATGGATTAAGAGACAGATAATAGATAAATTGATGAGAGAGAGAAACACACAGAGAGAAAGATAAAATAAAATTAAACACACTAACAAAAGTATGATTTGATATATAACAGAAAAAGTTCTTTAGTTTGTGTGTTTGTGTGTGTGTGTGTGTGTGTGTGTGTGTAGGTATTCTGTCATAAAAACACAACTATCTAAAACATAAAGTTTCAATCTTTTTCTTAAGAAATATTTTTAATTTAGGCTGGTTACAACTGTGAATTAAATTTTATTTTTATTTTTTATTGTATTTTATTTTGATTTTTTTTTTTTTTAAGATGGAGCATCGCTCTGTTGCCCAGGCTGGAGTATGGTGGCGTGATCTGGGCTCACTGAAACCTCTGTCTCCCGGGTTCAAGCGACTCTCCTACCTCAGCCTCCTGAGTAGTAATTTTTGTATTTTTAGTAGAGACGGGGTTTCACCATGTTGCCCAGGCTGGTCTTGAATTCCTAACCTCAGGTGATCCGCCTGCCTCGGGCTCCCAAAGTGCTTGGATTATAGGTGTGAGGCACCATGCCCTGCCCAACTGTGAATTAAATTTATATCTAGAAAAGGTGAGAAATATTATTAATGAAAACATTTCTTTCTTTTTATGATACTTAAGTTATACATGTGTAGAAGATGCAGGCTTGTTACATAGGTATACATGTGCCATGATGGTTTGCTGCCCATCAACCTGTCATCTGCATTACGTATTTCTCTTAATGCTATCCCTCCCCTTGCCCCCCACCCCGCGACAGGCCCCAGTGTGTGATGTTTCCCTCCATGTGCCCACGTGTCATTGTTCAACTCCCACTTCTGAGTGAGAACATGTGGTGTTTGGTTTTCTGTTCCTGTGTTAGTTTGCTGATAATGATGGTTTCCAGCTTCATCCACATCCCTGCAAAGAACATGAACTCATTCTTTTTTATGGCTGCATAGCATTCCACAGTGTATATGTGCCACATTTTCTTTATCCAGTCTATCATTAATGGGCATTTGGGTTGGTTCAAAGTCTTTGCTATTGTGAATAGTGCTGCAATAAACATACATGTGCATATGTCTTTATAGAAGAATGATTTATAATCCTTTGGGTATATACCCAGTAATGGGATTACTGGGTCAAATGGTATTTCTAGTTCTAGATCCTTGAGGAATCACCACACTGTCTTCCACAATGGCTGAACTAATTTACACTCCCACCAACAGTGTAAAACTGTTCCTGTTTCTTCACATCCTCTCCGGCATCTGTTGTTTCCTGAGTTTTTAATGATTGCCATTCTAACTGGCCTGAGATGGTATCTCATTGTGGTTTTGATTTGCATTTCTGTAATGACCATTTCTGTAATGATGAGCTTTTTTTCACGTTTTTGGCCACATAAATGCCTTCTTTTGAAAAGTGTCTGTTCATTTCCTTCACCCACTTTTTGATGGGGTTGTTTTTCTCTTGTGAATTTGTTTAAATTCTTTGTAAACTCTGGATATTAGTCCTTTGCCAGATGGATAGATTGCAAAATTTTTTTCCCGTTCTGTAGGTTGCCTGTTCACTCTGACGGTAGTTTCTTTTGCTGTGCAGAAGCTCTTTAGTTTAATTAGATCCCATTTGTCAAGACATTTCTAACCAGCAACAGGTCCAATATCGGAGTGAGTATGTTCTGATGCACAGGGCAGCAGTGTTTAAGGATATATTCTCTTCATGGAGTAACATCCAACTCAAACTTTAATGGTAACGCTTTAAATCTTGCCAAGCTCTGAAAGCAATTTCTTCTGCTTAATTGCTTTTTGGGGACTGTAATACATGTGGGCATTCTTACTCTAAATAGAATTCTCTGCATCTATGTTCAACATTTCTTTTATGGCCACATAAGTGACTTTTCTCTGGTTATTTATGCAATATAGGTGACAATCTTATTTGGTTTTCTATTTGAATATTCTGTAAAAGCTGAATAACAACTCCAAAATACGACACAAACATGCAGATACATATACAAACACTTACTGTATTTTATTCAATTAGTAAGTGTGTTCACTTAAATTCACACACAACTATACCTATAGGCATGCCCACATATACACACACACACATACACACACACATACACTGTTTCTCATTCTTATTTCCTTTATCTGTACTTGGTTTAGTTA
Organism: Homo sapiens; assembly: GCF_000001405.40. Classification (NCBI taxonomy): domain Eukaryota; kingdom Metazoa; phylum Chordata; class Mammalia; order Primates; family Hominidae; genus Homo; species Homo sapiens. The sequence goes on along the minus strand of NC_000010.11, from coordinate 79,832,817 downwards.
TGGCTGTTTTTTGCCTCTAACACTTTTATTTTAAAAAGAAAATTAAAATAGGTTATTGGGATCAAAGATATAGGCTTTTTGTTACTTTGAATGATTTTTGTAATTCAGAATATGCATTTGTTATTTCAGTTCTTATTTTTATAATTATTGGTAGAGTTCATCTAATTACCCTATAAATCCCTGGAGAAAGGTGGCCCCCATATACTTTATTTCTTGGTTATATGTATAAAAATCAGTAGGCAATGTAAAAATGTTTTTGTGTGAATTTATGTGAGTTATAATTCTAATTCTATGTCAATATTCACCTCAGATTACCACATGAAAGCTCAGTCACCAACTATGCCTCATACTGAAATACCCACTGATTAAATCAGTTGACAACCAGCTCCTATCGTACATTCAAATCACCAGGATCAATAGAATATTTTCTTATTATCCAGATTCTCAATCCGCTGCTTCTACTCACAAACTTCTTCCCCACGATAAACATACACACACACATGCACACACACATAGACATCTCCCAGATAAATTCTTATGGCCATACCAAGGTAATCCCACTGCTTCCATTTATTAAATAATTGAAAATATTTAAGTGAGAAAAATGGTTGTGTAAGAGTAATATTGTTAGCAGTTGCTAAAACTGAATGTCTATGTGCCTTCAAAATTCGTATGGTGAAACCCTAGTCCCCAGTGTGATAGTATTCAGTGGTGGGCCCTTGGGAAGTAATTAGTTGGTGAATGAGATTAATACTCTTATAGGAAGAGACATCAAAGAGATAATCTCTTTCTCTCTCTCAGTCTCTGCCATGTCAGTATACAATGAGAAAATGGCCATGTGCAAACAAAGAAACAGGCCCTCATCAGTCACTGGATGTGCAAGCACCTTTATCTTAAATTTTCCAGCCTCCAGAACTGTGAGAACACGCGTTTTGTGATTAAGTCACCCAGTCTACGGTAATTTGTTTTAACAGCCCAAAGTAACTAAAACAGCAATTATCTCATGAATTTGGAAATGGTCTGTGTACACATTATCAGTAATTAATTTTGGAAAATTTACTTATTCTTTTGTAAATCTCAGTTCTCACTAAAGAATAAGGATGATAACAATACTGTATCCCCAGCATGTCCATAAAAATTAAATGGTAGAATGAATCTAAAAAGCCCGATGTATAATGGGTATAAAGTATTCAGTACATGCTGTTATATACTTCTTTTCCCCTTTACGAGAACATGCAATATGGTCTGATGAGGTCTTTTTAAAATTGTTCACAATAATTGACATTTTACAAGTCATATCAAATGATACTTTTTGCCAAACCTGGTCTCTGGCTTGATCAGTTTTATTTTACATTTGAAATTTGTACTTAGACTTACGGGACTACTTTCTTCCATGAAAGATCTAATACCCTACAACCAAACACTTCATTATTTGGAGTTAAAAAGTGAAATTCTTCGATTATATCTAAGCTAATTTAAGTATTTTAAGTATATAATGTTTAACTGTTAAGTAGTTTACTTCAATTATTAAAATGACTGAGTCAGAGTAACTGATTATACTTCCTAGGCACACTAGGCCAGATGTCAAGAATCAAGGACCTCATTTTCAGAGCTGGCACTCATTAGCTCTGGGTTTGGAGAATTCACTTATTCTCTTCATTCTTTCTGAATAGTTTAGCATTGTTTTCTAGAGGTGATTGAGTTTAAATGCACTATTTGGAGGCTCATAGGTTCCATGCTTTTAGGGAAAATAATTTTGAAAAACAAAGAGAATAAAAAACTCTAGGTCAAAAGAGATCTATGGCTGTCTCATAGCAAGAGTGAAACACTGAGATGCCTACGTGGTATATAAATATTAAAATAAAGAAGGCAAGCTGACTGTGAAAAACAACAGCTAAATTATGGCAATAAATGAAAAATGTCAGTAATATCTCTACTGGGGGCACTATGGAATGGTGGGGACTGAGGATAATTAGAGAAGACAACCCGCCTACACATGGCAGCATCTACTAAGACTTATGAACTCTGTTTATGAAGAATATGAGTAAATGTCCTGATATTTAAACACATACCAAAAATTAAGATGTTCATGTGAAATGTTCTTTTTTTTGTATTTTGCTAATTTGATTATTTTAAAATAATAATATTTTTTATTCAAACAAATATATTGTCAGCTTAAAGGCCACTAGTTTCTTACCTATTAAAATTTGCTTTTCAGTTTGATGCTTGAATTTTTTCTATGGCATCACAAGTAAGTTATTGGTTATACATGAACAAATGCATGAATGGAATTATTATTACTTTCATTGACAAATGTTTTTACATATGTAAAATTTTCATCTTTGAAAGTTATTTTACGTGTTTTTACAGAACTATCCTCTCTTCCATGATACATCTTTGTTAATTCTGTTTCTTTAAGTAACATTGAAGATATTTATTTTTCTGTTTTCATATATCACATTCTTATTCCACTAAAATACCTACATTTTCTTCAGTTATGTATGATTGGATTTTTTTAACCATCCAGATGCATGTCTTTTGACATAATAGAATCTTTTTTATTCTTAGGATGAAAGAGCTACACCATAGTACAAAAAACTTATTAATTTACTATATCACAGCTACTATGGTGTGGTATGTAAATTAAGTTTATGAAAATTTATGATTATTCAGATTAAGTCCTGCATATGTAATGTTAAGATTTTTTTACTTTAGTTTTCTGAGAACTTGATTTACTAAAAGGTAAATAAATCATACTAGGATGATTATAAATATATCATTATTATTTTAAAAGGTATGCCCCAGTCCTCTTCTTACTTTTGGATAAGCTCATTCTGAAACCACAGTTCCAGACTCTTCTCCTGAGTACAATAAATGTATTTTAAAGCAGTGGTAAATATTTGTTTTGTCTGCAACTCCATCTCCAACAAGTAATTTGTTCAATAATTGTCATTATGAAGTGGATGTCCTTTACATCAGCTCCCTAGATTTTTTCAAGGCCATTGGTGCTTCACAACATTTTTTCAGAGGTTACATTCTAGTCACTTTCTTTATTGTCCATTCAAAACACTTGCTGAGACCTAGGGTGTCAGATTCTATTTTGCCTGTTATTTGACATTCCCTTCTCTTCGCAGGCCATTTAGCTACGTATTTCCTATTGGACTATCTGCTTTGGCATTTAGTAAATAAATACCGTAAGTCACTGAGGGTATGGGAAGAAATATTGAGTCATAGATACCATTTTCTCTTAGGGAATTTTCCTCTGAAGGCTTGCAAGTGTGGTATAGTTCAGTGTAGTGCTACCAGCTTCTGTTCTGAGGACACAGCTGATTGGGTTGATAATCCAAGATAATTTAAACAGATTATTTAACCTTTTTATGTTAGTGTTTCTATTTTGTATAGTGGTTATAATAAAACCATTTACTACTTAAGATTAAGATCTTCATAGATCTGAAGAAATATTGTACTAGAATGCTTAGTGAAAAATGTCTGACACATAATAAATACTCCATACATTTTGGCCTTTGCTCTCATTGTTATTTTTACCATCAGCTCTCTATCTCACCCTTGAAACCTGGCTCAGCCCCTGTGGAACTGTAGTATATCACCCCTGTCCCACAACGAAGACCTAGACTATTTACCCTTACATGGTTCCTGTGTCCAAGGTCCCAGAAAGGTAGAAGGGGGAAATGTCACAATAATATTCAAAATATCTGAAAGCAAACTGCTATTGTTTTAGTTTGAGAATAGAGCTTGATAGAATTTGACATTGTATTTCCCTAAAATATTAAACTTGTATACTCTCAACAGTTATATTATAAATATTTATTCAGGTATGGTCAAAATTTATCCATATTAATGATAATTATTTAAATGCTCTTTAGCTGTTCATCACCATATTAATACTAGGAATAATGACAGCTAATTTTAATTGAGAACTTCCTAACTGTGGCCCAGTTACAGTAAAATAAACACTATTAGATACATCCCATCGATTATTACAGCAAGCCTATGAAACATACTGTATTACACAGCCAGTATTAGAAATGAAAAACTCATGGGAAGGATATGTATAAAACTTGCTCAAAGTTACCCAGCTAATAAGTGGCTAGGACACGATTAAACACCTATGTAGTTTTCTTTCCTGAGCTGAAATCCTAAATCCTTGGCTGTATGGCCCCTCATTCAAAAGTCCTAAACTGGCTAAAATTTATATAACAGAAAATTCACAGAATCATTTCCTTCTACTTTTCCACTACCAGGGCTGTTAACAGTCCCAAGCAAAAGGGCAAAAATTTTTTCTACTTGAGATAAGAAAAATATAGAGTGTGACAGAAGGTATTCTACCAATATAAAAACACTTTACCAGGAAAACTGAGAAGGGGGCTGTTAACCTTCCGGGAAATGTAGGTCTTCAGTGGATTCTTGTTACAGACATAAAAACGTAGAGAGAAGACTTTCAGTTAAAAGCCTCATACCTTCAGCAAAGTATATTCTGATTCCATTATCGTGTTAGGCTCCTATACAGTTATAAGTAATCCCATGCGGTTTTAGAATTCTTAAATATTCACACACATAGTCATCTGAAAATGAATAAATCCATGAATGACTAAACAAATTTATTCCTATATCATTTTCAATATCCTTAAATTATGCTTACATCCTTAAATCAGTTGCCTCATTCTGAAAGCACATAGTCTGTAACTCATAAAAAACACCTGTCGGCCGGGCACGGTGGCTCACGCCTGTAATCCCAGCACTTTGGGAGGCCGAGGTGGGCGTATCACCTAAGGTCGGGAGTTTGCGACCAGCCTGACCACCATGGAGAAACCCCGTCTCTAATAAAAACACAAAAAATTAGCCGGGCGCGGTGGTGCATGCCTGTAATCCCAGCTACTTGGGAGGCTGAGGTAGGAGAATCACTTGAACTTGGGAGGCGGAGGTTGCGGTGAGCCAAGATCGTGCCAGCCTGGGCAACAATAGCAAAACTCCGTATCACAAAAAAAAACAAAAAAAAAAAAACAAAAAAAAAACCACTAAATAATTCATTTAGTATGGGAGAGTGTGAGGAAGCAGAAAATTAAAAAAAAAATAGACCAGCAATAATGTCACTTTTTCATGAATTTGTTAGTTCTTTCTGGGCTCCACTTACAGTTACTTTCCCATTCTTCCCTGCACACCGTCAACACATAAGGACTCAAATTAAGATGATGTATATGTTTACACTCCAAAATTTTTTTTTTTTTTTTTTGTGAGCATGGGGCTGTATTTTAATACAAGAAAGACATTGCTCTAGAACATGGCTCGCCTTTGCTTCAGGGCCTAGCAGTTTATTTTAGCCATAAGGGTAAGGGAGCAGGTCAGAAATGACTTTTAGTGTAATCCTATCTGTAATTAAAAATACAAATGCTGTCATAAGATCAAATGTTATCAAAAATCAGTATTTAAAATTAAATTTACCCCCAAATTTCTTTCAAAAAAGTTGTAATGTTCTTTTTCAGTGAAGCCTTTGCACTGCTAGAGCTGAAGAATGTGATCAATCGGCTTGTTGAATAATCCCGCACAGTAGGTATTCCGCTGAAGCCAACTCTAGCTGGGGGCTCGAGAGCGAAAGACACAGATGGGGCCCTGCCGCCCCTCGAAGAGTCGGATGGGCGCGCCCGTCCCCGGTGCATCAAGAGGCTGGCCCGGCCAGGGGCGAGGGGCTCGCACCGAACCCCGCGCACCTCGCCGCGGGCGGGGCTGGGCCGTAGTCGGCTCGATTTAAGGCTGGTATCCAAGGCTGCGGCCGGTCAGGCGAGGCGAGGCGACGTGAGCGAGGGTGCTTAGGGAGAACAGCCGCTGGCAGCTCAATGCTGGGTGGCTAACGCTCGACGGTGCCCGGCAGCAACCCGGCCGACACCCCGACCCGGATCCCGAGCTGCGTCGCGGACGATGCCGCGGGCCCGTCCGGGACTACGACTCCCGACGGGCTCTGCGATCGCTCCGGGGCGGCCCAGCGTGCACTGCGCCGGCCAGTTTGACAGCCGGGCGCCCTACTCGGCTAGCTCTGCTCCCAGCGAGGGACGCTGGCCTTCTCGCGGCTTTCCCCCGATATCTCTCTTTATTCCAGCTGCCTGAAACTCGGTCCCACGAATGGCAGGCAGCGTCCAAAATTCAACCCCGTAAAGCCAGCACCAGCCAATAAAGCGCACGGATGGAGGCCACGTGACAGCAGTGGGCCGGCCCTCCGGCTGAGCCCTGATCTCTATGGTTTCCGCGGCTCGCTAGAAGGAGTGTGGTCCACCGGAGGACTCCCTACATTCTTCCTCCATTACCTCACTGCCTCCGGTGGCTGCTGGGATACCGGAGGACTCGGGTCCCGGCTCGACTCAGTCCTCCAGCCGCCCGGGGAATACCTCTAGTTCTTCCCGGCCGCCGCCGCCGCCGCCGCCCCGCCGCTTCCTCCTCCGCCTGCCGGCCTCCTTCGCCCCGTCCCGTCCGCGCAGCGCGTCCGGCCCGCCCGCAGGCCAGCTTCTCTCGGGAGCCCCCACCCAGGCGCATGGCTCCATGAAGCAAGAGGAGGAGGCAGAGCGCGAGAGGTCCCGTCCGCCCCAGCCGCGTCTGGGCCAGGATAAAAGGTGGGAAACTCGGGCTGCGCCGCACCCTTCTCCCCGCTGCCGGGCCAGGCCTCCCTCGGTCCGCCGCCGCCTTGCCCGCCGGGCCTGTTCTCGCCGGGGCGGGCGGCGGGGCCGGGAAGAGACCCCGCGGTCCTGGGGCGAGGGTCCGGGGGCAGCGTGGGGGAGGGGTCCCGGGCGGCGGGCGGGGCCTCAGGCCATGTCCCAGCGGAGGGCAGGGGGTCGGGAGGCACTGCCGGGGAGGGGCAGGCGGCGCCGTGCCCCGGGCCGCGAGGCTCGGCTCCCGCTCCTGGTCCTTGTCTGCACTCCCTCCAGGAAGCAGGCTCGCTCGCTGTAATGTTTGGTGGTCTCCGGCGCCGCCTGGTGGCCCCCACCCACCGTCCCGCCGCCCCGCCGCCCCCTCCCCCGCCCGGCGTCTGGATTCCACCCCCGCGGCTCGGCCCAAGCTGCTCTACCTGTCGCTCCATCGTCTCCCCAACTCCCCAGCGCCCCGGGCCCTCTTTCCTCTTACCCTCGTTTCTCACCTTTCACCCTGTCCCTCGGCCCGCTTTTCCCCTCCCCGCTCTGTCCTGTCGTTTTCTTAACACTCTTCACACGCGCACTTCCTCCTCCTCCTCTTCTCTTTTTCCCACCCCTACCTTTGGGCCCTCCTTCCTTAACCTCCGCTGGCCCCCCATTCCATGATCCGTCCACCTGACACGCTGGGTTTCATGCCTCTCTTTCCCAGGCTGTGGGTTGTGCCCTTCACTCCTTGCCCTCCTCCATTCCCTGTCCTGATCTGAACTCCTCTCCTTGCCACGCTCCCTCACCCTTATCCCTCTGCACACTCCAAAATTTTTAAAGAAAAAGGAGAGAGAGAAAAAAAAGTAAAAGAAAAGAAACCCAAAAGGGAAAATATAGCTAAGGTGAACTGGTGAGTTTCACTCAGAATTCTTATTATTGAGAATGATGTATTTTGTTTTCTTATGTATAATGAAAATGGAAGAGAAGAATTATAAATCATAGTTCATTTTTATGATTAGTACATAAAAAAATTTGAGTCTTTCTTGGCATCCATCACTTTATCTTAAAAACACAGAGTATTTACTTTTTGTGTGGCAAAGGAGGCCTAATGGGGAACCTTGACCTTCATCTCAACTTGACAGTAAAAAGGTGCTCCTTCCTTCCCCTTTTGCTTGCCATGTGTCTGAAAAAGACTAGTAGCAAGAATATATAAAGAACTTTCAAAACTTAAGAGTGAACAAAGTCAAATTAGAAAGTGGGCAAAAGACATGAATATACATTTCACTGAAAAGAATATATGTTTGGAAAATCAGAGCATGAAAAGACGTCAACATCATTAGCCATTAGGGAATGAAAAATTAAAACCCCAATGGGATTTCAATATATACCCAATGGAATAGTTACAATAAAAAATAATGACAACACTGAGTGCTAGCAAGGCTGCAAAGAAACTACATAACTGGTGCATGGTTGATGGGAATGTAAAATAACAAAGCCATTCTCTAACAATTTGATACTTTCTTTAAAAAGCAAACAAACAGTTTAACAGGCAATGACTTTATGACTCAGTGATTTCACTCCTGGGCATTTACAGCAGAGTAATTTTTAAAAACCACGTTAATTCAAAAACTTTACACAAATATTCAGAACAGCTTTATTTTTAATAACCCCAAACTGGAAACAACCCAGACATTTTTGAAGGTGTGAATAAGTTTAAACAAAATGTATTACATTCATGCAATGAAGCACTGCTTAGCAACAAAAAGAAACAAGCTATTGATATAGACAACAACTTCCATAAATTTTCAGAGAATTATGCTGAGTAAATAAATCTGACCACAAAAGATTATATGATGTAGAATTTCCCTTGTAGAACATTACTGAAGTGACAAAATTATGAGAATGGAGGAAAGATTAGTGGTTATCAAGGGTTAAAGATGAGGTGAAAAAGAGGAAAATAGATGTGGCTAGGAAAGAACAACATGAGGGATTCCGTGGTAATGGAAATATTCTGTATGTTGACTATATCAACCTCCACATATTGGTTATGATATTGTACTATACTTTTGCAAGATGTTACCACTGGGAGAACTGAGATAAGGTTACAAGAAATCTCTCTATATTATTTCTTATAACTGTAAGTAAATCTACAATTATATCAAAATTTAAAGGTTATTTTAAAAAGAGAGTTCTTAATAATTCTTTCTCCCAACCTTAGAAATTAGAAAAGGAAGACTAAACTGAGCACAAAGCAAGAAAAACGAATAAATAATACAGATTAGAGCAGAAATCAATCAAACAGAAAATAAAACAAAAAACAATAAAGAAATTTAAAGATCCAAAGTTTGAATCTTTGAAGAGATAAAATTGAGAAATACTTAGATGATGAATAATAAAAAAGGCCGGGCATGGTGGCTTACCCCTGTAATCCCAACACTTTGGGAGGCCGAGGCGGGTGGATCACTTGAGGCCAGGAGTTCGTGACTAGCCTGGCCAACGTGGTGAAACCCCATCTCTACTAACAATACAAAAATTAGCCAGGCATGGTGGCAGGTGCTTGTAATCCCAGCTACTCAGGAGGCTGAGGCAGAATTACTTGAACCCAGGAGGCGGAGGTTACAGTGAACCCACATCCTGCTATTGCACTCCAGCCTAGGCGACAGCAGCAAAACTCTGTCTCAAAAAAGAAAGAAAAAAAAAAAAGAAAGAAAAAAGAGATAATGTGTTGATTACCAAAATCAGGAGCAAAGGTTACTACTACCAATCCTCCCCCATCCCATCCAAATATATGAATTATAAGGGAAATACTATGAAACACTTTGTGACCACAAATTATACAACTTATATTTAAGGTAGAAAGTCTTAAAAATATATAAATTACCACAGCTGAAATAAAAATGAATAGAAAATCTGAATAAATATGTTGAATTAGCAATTAAAAGTCTTTCATAAGGAAATATACAGGACCACATGACTTCACTGGTAAGTTATTTTGCATATTCAATGAAGAAATGATACACATACTCAGAAAATAGAAAAAGAAACTTCCCAATTGATGTTATAAGGCCTATATTCAAAAGCAAAAATGAAAAGAGAAAGAAAAAAATTTTTAAAAAGAAAAAAATAAAAATTAAATTACAGATCCATATACCTCACAGATATAGACACAAAAATCTCCAATAAAATATTATCAAACTAAATTCAACCATATATAAAAATGATTGCACTCCATGACTAAGTGAAATTAATCCCAGAAATGCAAGACTGTTTTTGTATTTTAAATACAAAATGTAATGTAATATACTATGTTATAAAATGAACTAAAATGAAATGATTATCTCAATGATGCAGGAAAAGGATTTGACAGAATCTAATGTGAATTAATAAAAAAAAAAAGAATGGAAATTCTTCAACCTGATAGAGGACATCAACAACAACAACAACCAAAAACACTACATTTTACAGCATAGCTAATGGTGAAAGACTGGATATTTGCCCCTCAAAATTGGTGACGTGCCAAAGATGTCTATAAAATTTACTCTTCCTAATTCTATCCAATATTGCACTGGAAGTTATAGTCAATACAATGAAGAATACATCAATAAAGCCATCAGGAAATGGAAGTGGCTGGGCTCAATAGCTCAGGCCTGTAATCCCAGTGCCTTGGGAGGCCAAGTCAGGAGGCTTACTTGAGGCCAGGAGTTCAGAACCAGCCTGGGCAACAAAGACAGATCCTCTTCTCTATGAATTTATTTATTTTTTTAAATTAGCCAGGCATGGTGGCATTCACCTCTCAGTCCTAGGTACTCAGGACGTTGAGGCAGGAAGGTCACTTGAGCCAGGAGTTCAAGGTTGCAGTGAACTATGATTGCAAGTTACTGCACTCCAGCCTGGTAGATAGAGAAAGACACTCTATCTCTTAAAAAAATTAAGATAATAATTATATTCACAATACTATACAAATAAACCCTTGGAAATACATTTAGCAAAATATGTGTAAGAATTGTATGCTGAAAACTAATAACCTAAGCAAATGGAAAATCATTCCATGCTCATGGATTGGGAGACCTACTCTTGTTTTTCTAGTAATTCTCCCATCATAGATCTATAGATTTAATACTATTGTTACCATACATTAGCCATATTATATGAACATAAATATTTCATTTGTGAGCCTCATATCTAATTATTTGTTATTTACATATAATTATTTTAATATTAGCTCTTTGAAAAGCACTTTAAAAATGGTTCCCTGAGACCTTGGCTTTCAAGTTCTAATTAAACTATTCAATATGAACTAGAAAATTTAGTAAACAAAGTGTCATCTTCTGCCTTATTATCTTTTTATTTGGAAAACTGTGTTAGACTCCAAGGTATTCTCTCCTTCAATGTAACAGAAGTAACCAGTTTAATTGTTCAGAACCTGACATTTATTTAATCATGTCTTCTTAGTGTTCAGGTTTAGTGTCTTCAATGACTGGATGCCAATCTGCTTCCTTTTTGACTTTCCTAGGCTCGGATTCATCAGATTCTCTACTTGCGTCATTTGCAATGGAAAGACCCTCCCACAGGGTAGAGGTTATTCATTCTCTCTCTCTCTCTCAGTCTCCACCACAATTTTTGCCAAGAGCAAGTCAGGTTTTTGGTCAAGCTAGGTTTTTACTGCATGCTTTCCTTCAACTAAGTGTGAAAGAAATCTATTAAATAATATTTAATTTGGTCTCAAATGTGAACCATACTCTCCAACCTAGTATTTCTACCAAATAACCATGAACTGAAATTTACTTCATAGTTTTGACCTTCATAAATTGTTTGTTTCCCCATTTATCTCCAATTCTTATATGTTTTTAAATTATTGATATCAACTCTGGAGAAAAGAATAAGTCTTACACCCGGCATAACAACAGGTACAATTAAAGAAGTATGTTCCTTAACATGAGAAGAATGTTAACCCATTTCAATCACAAGTATTTGATTTTTCCATGAGTAACACTATGCTATGCATTGTGGAGTTTACAGAAGAGTTGAGATATGATCCTGACTTCGTGGTACATAATTTCATTTGATAGGGCAAGGCATATGTAATTCAGTAAAGATATAGATGTTACTGATGTACATGAGAGCCTTGTGGGCTGAGTTCCCTTATAGAAGTGGAGTTTGTGCAATCTTGAAAATGGGTAGCATCTGGATAAGAAAAGAATCAATCAAGTAAGAGAAATGTCCCCAAATTGCTTCCACAATGTCAGAGCAGCTTCCTTCAGAAAAAGCTACATAGACATTTAAATTTAAAATTATAGCATCTTACAAACAAATATATAAATACTATTTACTTTTATGTCTAATACATTTAGAGAAAGTATCTAAGTCAATGTTAAAAATTCTATTTCAAATGCTCGCATGCATCTTCTTTCACTAATGAAATAATAGTGAACCGTGTTTTGAAATCATCAGACACTTCAAAATTAGTTTTCTTTTCAAATAATGCAACGTAGTAAAATGTGGACTTGCAAAGTTCTTATTTTACTGTGATTCTTCTATGAAAATAATGTAGAACTATTTAAAATTTTTCCTTAAATTTTCCACATGTGTAAAGTAGGTAAAACACCACAAGCAATATTTGCTGAATTATTACAATGTATTACATGTCTTTTACTTAATATGAGTTATACACTGAGAACTTTTTTTTTTTTCACAATAATTCTCCGAGATGAAGATAAAGTGGATGAAAACTGGAAGTAAAGATGTATTCACCCTACAAGACTTAATAGTGAGACTGCGCTTAACTCAAGATTGCGTTGGCCAAGGGATTAAAGAGGCAGAGGAGAAACTGCTTCCAATGTTGTTTCCCAATAAATCAATAAAACTTGTCAGGGGTTTTCATCCAAGGAGAGAGTAACACTAATCTCTATCTTCATGTATACATTTTTTCCAGGCTTTTGGAGCTTGTCAATGATTCCCAAACTTGGCTTTATATTAGACTCACCCAGAGACCCATTAAAATCCCAGTGTCACCAGGCATGGTGGCTCACACCTGTAATTCAAGCTATGTGAGAGGTTGAGGCAGAAGGATCCCTCAAGCCCAGGAGTTTGAGGCTGCAATGAGCTGTGATCATGCCACTGTACACTAGCCCAGGTGATAGAGTGAGACCCTGTCCCCTTCTCCCCAAAAATCCTGATGTCCAGGTTATCAAATTAGAATTTTTGAAGGTAGGATTGAGGCAGTGCTACTAAAAGCAAAGACAAAAAGAAGCAAGCAAGCAAACCACTTGATTCTAATATGGAACAAAGGTTGAGAATCACTAGATAGAAAAAGAAAACAAATTCATCAATACTGATCGTCTATTACCTTTAAATGACCTAGATCTCAAGAGATCCCAGTATACAAAAGCTTTGGCTAGGACCTGAGAATCTATTATAATTAGCATTTTCATTAGTCTTAATATCTCACTCATATCATGCACAAAATTCAATGTAAGATGGATCACAGACCTAAATATGAATGCTAAAGCTTCTAGAAGAATACTTTGAGGAACATCATAATGATCTTGGGTGAGATAAATAATGATTTTTTTTCTAGAGCAGAAAATGTATTAAACATAAAATAAAAATTGTGTTAATGTTTTTACTATATTAAACTTATATTCATTTATTCAAAAAAACCTCATTACATATGTAAGGAACTCCTACAACAACAGAAAAAAATAACTTAAAAAGGGGGGCAAAAAGATTGAATAAATTTTCTTCAAAGACATACAAATAGCCAAAAGGTATATGAAAAGATGTTCAACATCACTAATGATCAGAGAGATACAAATAAAAGCCAAAATATTATATCACTTACCACTCATTAGGAGAGCCATTATGAAACAAAACAAGACATAACAAGTGTTGGCAGTGATGTGGAGAAACTGGAACCCTTGTACGCTCTTGCTGGGGATGTAAATTGGTTCGGCCACTGTGGATTACAGTATGGAGGTTCCTCAAAAAAACTAAAAATAGAACCAATATATGATCCAGCAGTCCTACTCTTGGGCATATGTCCAAAAGAATGGAAATCAGGATGTGGTAGAGTTACCTGCATACCCATGTTCTTTGCAGCATTACTCACAAAACAACAAAATTTGAAAACTTAAATGTCCATCAGCACATAAATGAATAAAGAAAATGTGGTGTATAAATACAATGGAATATTTTCAGCTTTAAGAAGGAAGGACATTCTGCCATCTGCAAGAACATGGATGAACCTGGAGGATATCATGATAAGCCAGTCACAGAAGGATAAATTCTGCATGATGTCACATATATGAGCTTTCTAAAATAGTCAAACTCATAGAGAATAGAATGGTTAGGGGCAGGAGGAAGAAGGGTTGCTGTTCAACAGGTATAAAGTTTCAGTTGTGTAAGTTGCGTAAGTTCTAAAGATTTTCTGTGCAACATCACGCCTATACTTAACAGTGCTATATTGTACATTTAAAACCTTACTAAGAGGACAGATCACAAGTTATGTTTTTACCTCAATGAAAAATGAATAGAAATGTCGCAGTTAGATAACACATTTGAAATACATAGACCTGACAAAATATTTCAATGGAAAGTAAATAAATCCTACAAATTGTTATGCAGAAGTTACATCACTCAATTAGAAGTGGGCAAAAGACTTGAACGGTCAGTTCATAAAAGAAGACAGCCAATTGGGGAATCAGGATAAGAAAATGTGCTGAACATAGTTGGTCATCAGAAAAAATGAAAATAAAAACCTCAGTGAGATGTCATTACGTATCCAAGAGAACTGGTAAAATTAAAATGGCTAAATACCTGGAGACCGATATGGGAGGATAGCTTGAGCCCAGGAGTCCAAGGCTGCAGTGAGGTATGATTGTGCCACTCCACTCCAGCCTGTGTGATAGAGCAAGACTCCATCTCTTAAGAAAAAAAATTGGGGACTGAATATAGCAAGTGTTGAAGAGGTTATGAAGCAAAGAAAATCTCATACATTTGTGGTGGGAGAGTAAATTTACAGCTATATTTTAAAGAAGTTTGGCAATTTCTTATAAAGTTAACCTGCACACATACCCAGTGACATCGTGATTCAATTTATAGGTATATACCAAAAATAAATGAGGGTGTGTATTCACACAATAGAGACCTATATAAAATTATTCACAGCAGGTTTTTTTTGTAGGCAAAAACTGGATGTAACATCTATAAAGTGGAGAAGAGATAAATTATGATATTGACTTACAGAGTAATAATACATAGCAATACAAAATAAAATATTGACACATAAAACAGCATAGATGAATCTCCAAATCATCATGTTGAGTAAAATAGGTCAGACACAAAAGCATATGATTCCAGACAAATTTGACCAGTGGTTGTTATCGACTGGAATAAAGCAGCACAATATTTTCTGTGGTAGTGAAACTGTTCTTTATCTTGATATGGCTGGTGTGAATATGAGTGCAGAAATACATAAAGTTAAGGTACACATCTTAAATTTGTTCATTTTATGAAATATAAATTTGGCCTTGGTAATGCACCTCCAAAATTTTTTATTAAGGCTATAATTAAATTTATATTTTTCTTTATAAAAATGAGTGATGTATCACATTATATTTGAATATTTTTCTAATAGAAGACCTTATGGCTTAAAATTGAGTATTCTGTTTAATACTTATCATAAATTTATAATTTAATAAGTGATTTATAACTGCACAATAACATTACAACAATTTTATGTTTAGGTAAAATTGTCTTTATTTTAAATTTAAGTAGTACAGCAACTTTACATGGCTTACCTAAACCACACAATTATTAAGTGATATAATTGGGACTGTAATCCAGGGCTGTTTCTAAGTAATATGTTCATTTTTCTTCAAATTGATAACTTGAATACATCTTTTGAAAAAATATTTATTAATTTTTTAAATTTAATTAAGATACTTTCAACTTACTGAAGATTATGTGGTTCTTATAACACTAGATGGGTTAAAGTCATACTTTTGACTTCTATTATTTATGTGATTTTATGTGATCTTGGCCATTCAGCCTTTTTTGGTAAAAAGGGAATGATAATATCTCTCAAGAGTATTGCAAGATTTAAATGAAATTAAATGCGTTGAAAGCTTCTGTAAGAAACGTACAGAGTGCATAGAAGAATCTCAATTTTTATAAGTTTCTCAATTTTCCCTTTACATTTTCATTCTTATTGTCATCTGTCTCTCACTGATGCTGCTGCTTCTCATGTCGCCCCCTAAGTGCAGACTAGTTCTCACCCTCAGCGCTCTAACCACTGCCTCTAGAAGTAAAATAAGTGTCCTCTTGCAGAATACTTCTACTTCCTTCTCCTCAAACCCCTCCAGCTTAGAATCTCATACCATTTGATTATATTGATCACTCTCCCAATGTTTAGTCACTTTCCCTCATTCTTTGCAGTCTTTACAACCTGACTTAACTGCCATTATTTTGATGTCTCATTTAAATTACTTACCTTCTTTGACATTTGACCTCGTCATTTCCAATGTACTTGCTATCTTCAGTATCTAGCTATTCAATCTCATGATCTCAGCTCAAACCACGTTATTACTAATTGCAAATTTTTACAATCTAACTTTTAAGTCTCCTGCCTTCTGAACATTAACTTCTATCTTTCTAGTTCATTCCATTTACTACAACTTCAAAAATACTGTGACTCATCCTGGATCTACACTCTCATACAATATACAATACAGTCCTTATACAATTCTCAATCCAGTTTTCTCCACACATCCTTTACTTCTCAGCAAACCCACCTTCAAAACATTTAAGTAATTTTTACTACTGCTGTTATCCACCCAGGCCAAGCCAAAATCATGTCTCATCTGAATTTTTATCCCCCTTCCTGCTTCTGCATTAGCCCTCACCCTCAGTCTATTCTCAATACCCAAGCAAGAATATAACATAGTATCATGGAGATCATGCCACTCTGCTCACTCACTTTTAAGGACTTCTAATTCCACTCTGAGTCATTATTGTACAGATTATACAGCTCTACTCATGCTCCCCACCAGGCACACCTCTTTGATTACAGCCCTGTTGCTCTTCCCCTCATGCCTCTGTTCCAGCTTTGCTGTACCCAACACTTCCTGGTGCTCTTTGGGCAGGCTGGGAATTGTCTCTGTGTTAGCCCATTCGAGCAGCTATAACAAAATACCGTAGACTAAGTAGCTTATAAATGACAGAAATTTATTTTTCACAGTTCTGGAAGCTAAGTCCCAGATCAAAGTGCTCACATATTCCTTATATGATGAGGCCCTATTTCCTAGTTCATAGACCCATCTTCTTCTTCACATGGTGGAGTCGTCATATGGTGGAAGGGACAAACCAACCCCCTCAGGCATCCTTTATAAAGGCACCAATCTCCTTCATGAAGGCTCTGTATTCATGACATAATCACCTTCCAAAGACCTTAACTTTTAATAGTATCATACTGTGAATTACATTTCAACAGTAATGGGGGGGGGTTGTCAACATTCAGACCATAGCACTCTCACATTAGATGCTTTGTACATGGTTTCTCTGACTGAAAACACCTGTCTTCAAATTCCCCCCTGAATTGTTTCCTTATCTCCTGGATTAGTTCCTTCTCATGCTGCTAATAAAAACATATCCTAGACTGGGTAATTTATAAAGGAAAGAGTTTTAATTGAGTCACAGTTCTGCACAGCTGGTGAGACCTCAGGAAACTTACAGCCATGGTGGAAGGGGAAGCAACACATCCTTCTTCACGTGGTGGCAGCAAGGAGAAGTGCCAAGCAAAATGGGGGAAAAAACCCTGATAAAACCCTCAGAGAACATGAGAATTCGTTCATATCACAAGAACAGCAACGTGGGGGTAACTGCCCCCATGATTCAATTGTCTCCCACCAGGTCCCTCCCATGACATGTGGGGATTATGGGAACTACCATTCAAGCTTTAGATTTAGTGGGGGACCCAGTCAAACCATATCACCTTCTTCAAGTCTTTCACTCAAATGCTACTGTCTCCGTCATGCCTTCCTTATTTCCCTACTTAAAATTATATCTCCTCCTCGTGTTCTTTATTTGCTTTGTCTGCTTTACTTTCCTCCATAGCACTTAGCAACACTTAACATATTATGTAGTTTAATTATTTATGTTGTTACACATCTCCTTCCAAGAGAATGTAAGCTCCAAAAGGCATATTTTTCTTTATTTTCTTTTTTTCACTGCTATATCCGCAGTGTCTACAATAGAATGTGGTACAAGGTAGGAGCTTAATGTGAATGAATGAATGTTAGTCGTATTACCTTTTAAATTTACCTTATTTTCTAATTTTCTACATTTTCCACATTCCTTCATCCTTTCCACCTTCCTACATCCTGTGGGATGTGCATACAGAAAGCAGCAACATTAAGGTAAAAAGTTTAACCTTTGGATTAATATTTAAATCTTGAGACTGTTTTGTTTTTCTGTTGCCTTTAGCAAAACCATATTCCTGCTGCTGTCAGTTATGATGCACTGAGAAAACTTCAGAGACCTAAACTTTTTCCAGAGAAGAGAAGCTTTACTGGTGTTCCAGCCCTAAGGTGAGACCAGCTTATGCATCCTGGTTTATATTTTATTTTGTCGCCTTTATTCTCTTTCTCTTTATTTTTCTTTTCTTCTTTCTTACGTTGTATTTCTGTTTGGAAAAGACCATGTACAAACAGAGTAATATGTGGATCCATGCCTATCCATCTTAGTATAATCATGTATTCATTGTACTTTGTTGTATACATTTGGTACGTATTCTAAATATGGACATATGCTATGTATCATAATGTACATAACCATTTCTCTATTGATAGACTGTTACAGTATTTTCAATTTCTGATAACAGCAAAAATGATCCTTCAGTTGCTATCATCAATATTTATTTGTACATATCAATGATCATTTTAGAGGATTAAAAACAGAAGAAGAATTTTTAGGGAAACCATGTATAGTTAAAATGTGTATATACTTTTCACATTTTCATAGATAAAGAGCATCCCTATTTTTTTCCCCACTAACAACAAGACAAGATGGCTGGAGAAAAATAAATCACCAAATATCATAAAGATACTTGCATGTTTTATAAGTAATTAATAACTACTTTCTCATAACAGTAAAAACTATTTTGTTTTGTATGAGAGGATTTTTCTCTCTAAGTTTTAAAAAATCATTACATACAAATATATCACATCAAACCCAAAAGCCATTGCTAGCACACTGGTTCCTGTCTTAATATTAAGTATGAGATAAAAGGCCTTTATCTTCCAGAAAGTTGTTCATAACATGCCAAATATGTGAACACCCAATAGTCAAAGGACATTATCTCTATGATGTAATTTTGAAAGTTATTAAAATAATTGTTTATCAATTTCATCCTACAAGCACACAATTTAAACCATTCTTTTAAAGTGGATTTTAGAAGATTGGAATAGGGAGTTATAGAAGTCAATCCCTCCACAAAAACTGCCATTAAACTGGAAAAAATAAGAATTAACCTTTTTGGAACTCTGGATCCTAATCAGATAAATAACAACCATTAGTAGACTGCTTGATGCTATTGGCCTTTAGTAAGAAAATGGCTGTATGCACACACCAGATACCATCACTCATTCTTATTCACAAGAGTCAAAAAGTGAAAACAAACCTGTATGTGTAGATAAACAAAATGTGGCATGTACATACAAGGGAAGATTATTTAGCCATAAAAAGGGAATGATGTTCTGATACATGTTTACAACATGGGTAAACCTTGAAAACATTATGCTAAATAAAATAAGCCAGACACAAAAGGACAAACAGTATATGATTCTACTTATATGAAAGATCATGAATAGTCAAATTCATGCAGAGGGAATGCAGATTGCATGTTTCCAGGGCATGGAGGCTGGGGCAAGGGGAATGGAGAATTAGTGCTTAATGGTACAGAACTTCTGTTTGATGTGATAGAAAAGTTATGAAAACAGTGTTAATTATAGAACATTGTGAATGTATTCAATATCACTGAGTTTTAGAATTGAAAATGATTAAATGGTACCTTTTATGTTATGTATATTTACCACTGGGTAATAAAATTGTATTAATGTAGAGGCAATTTTAACAGTCGTACCACTCTGGAGGAAGATACTGATAATGAAGGAGGCCATGCATGTGGAGGCAGGATATATTACATATATAATACAATATATAATATATATTATATATACACATTATGTCAGGGGGTGTGTGTGTATATATATATATATATTATGTCAGGGTGTGTGTGTGTATATATATATATGTAATATACCCTGCCTCCACATGCTTTTTATATATATATAGTAATATATGGTATATTACCATATATAATATATATTACTACATATATATGGTAAATCTCTATGTCTTCCTCTTAATTTTTCTGTGAAACTGAAACTGCCCTAAAAAATTCAAGTCCTACAAAAATGAAAATGAGTTAAAGTACTTTTTTTTTTCTTTGAAACGGAGTCTCGCTCTGTCGCTCAGGCTGGAGTGCAATGGCGCGATCTCGGCTCACTGCAAGCTCCCCCTCCTGGGTTCACGCCATTCTCCTGCCTCAGCCTCTGGAGTAGCTGGGACTACAGGCACCCGCCACCGCGCCCGGCTAATTTTTTGTTTTTTTTAGTAGAGACGCGGTTTCACCGTGTTAGCCAGGATGGTCTCGATCTCCTGACCTCGTGATCCGCTCGTCTCGGCTTCCCAAAGTGCTGAGATTACAGGCTTGCAGGCGTGAGCCACCACGCCCGGCCGAGTTAAAGTACTTTTTCTGGAACAAAGAAACTTAGCATAAATAGTTAAAATAGTAAGAGTTGTAATTAAGGGAAATTTCAGCTCAATATGACTTCAACAGTTTAAAAAATGTATTATTTCACATAAGACCATGGAGAGAGGAATTGGAAGCCCCAGAATTGATTGGGTCAGAAATTGAAAATGATACTATCAGTGACCCAGGTTTGAATGTCTCTCTCCACAGCATTGACTTCACTAATGGATGTGACCTGGTTGGCAGCAGTAGCTTGCACAACATGCTTGTTTGCAGTGAGTAGTAGAGAGAAGGTTTTGCTTTCCCAGAAACTCTGAAAAAGGTCATCAAACCTAAATTTCCTTAGCCTTCTTCTTCCATGAGCAAATCACTAGCAGATGATTGCTAGCAAGGTGTTACTATTACAATGAACCCCTAAGTGTCAGAGAAAGAGTTAGTTTGGGGAAATATCCTCTCCACCACAATCTTAGTCATTGAAGTCAATTTAACAATATATTGAAATATTTTTCTTAGAAGTTTAAAGTTCCATTAAAGAGTAGCAATTACAGAAATTATAGGTAGCCTTTAGTTCTACAAGTGACATCTCAAAGGGGAGATGATTCATCAATTTCAAACTTTCCCTGAAAGTAATACTGGATGAAAATTAACTTGGCAAACATAATTAATAATCATGGGTTATTAATTACTTCTGCAAGGTGGGTGTGCTGATTTTAAAAGGCTTGAATAAAACATAAATTTCCTTAATTTATACTGTAAATGGAGTAATTTGGTGATGTAAATGGTAATATGTAAGTGACTTCTGCTTCAGATCTTACAACTTAAAATATTTTTCTAAAATTAGTTTTTGTACCATCTCTCCAGCATGTTCCAGCCTTTATCAGTCAGTCCAGGCTTCTATAACAAAATATCATGGACTGAATTGCTTACACAACAGACATTTCTCACAATTGTAGAAGCTGGAAAGGGCAAGATTAAGGTGCTAGCAAATTTGTTTCCTGGTGAGGGTCCTCTTCCCGGCTTGCTGTATCCTCACATAGCAGATAGAGAGAGAAAGAGAGAGAGAGAGAGAGCACTCTATAGACTCTCTTCCTGTTCTTCTAAGGACACTAATTCCATTGATGAGGGCCCTACGCTCATGACTTTGTCTAAACCTAATTAATTCTCAAAGGCCTCACTTCCCAACACTGTCACATTGTGGGGTAGGGCTTTAACATATGAAATTTGAGGGAAAAGGAATGTTCAGTCTAGAACAAAGCCCCATACATTTCAAAAAGCTGTGGGACAGGAGGGAATGGGGATGGTATTCAGTGGTACCACATCCAAGCAAGTCTTGTATGGTTAAAACAAATCAATATAATAACATGAAATTTTACACAGAAACCTATCTGATTATAAACTGTATGCTTACCATAGTCAACACTGATGTACATTGTTTTAAAAATACTTAATAGTGTTCTTTGTTTAACCAAATAATAGAGGTATTAACTAGTTTCCTAGTGCTGCCAAAAGAAATTGCTACAAAATTTGTGGCTTAAAATAGTAAAAAAAGAAAAAAAAAATCTCAATTATAGAGGCCAGAAGACCAAAATCAAGGTGGAGGCAGAGCCATACATCCTCTGACGGCTCTAGGGAAGAATCCTTCCTTGCCTCTTCTAGATTCTGTTGGCTCCTGGCACTCCTTGGCTTGTGACAGCATAACTCTAACCTTTGTCTCTATCTTCACATGACCTTGCTTGTGTTTCTGTGTCCCAAATACCCATGACTCACTCTAAATTCAGGATGATCTCACCCTGAGATCTTTATTATATCTGTAAAGCTCCTATTTCAAAATAAGGTGATATTTACAGGTATTGGAATGGGAGAGGGTCTAGGACTCAGACGCACCCTTATGAGGATACTACGTGACCCATTACAAGGCACAAAGTAATTACCATAGGCAAACCACTGATGAGAGCTCACTCCAGTTTGGAATATATTCACGTTTCCATATAAGAGAAAAATTCGTCCCTGGTTCAGTTCATCTTGGCATCAGTACACGGGTGGGATTCAGAGACATGTAGGTGTGGAATACCAGATTCCACCAAACTTAAAAAGCTGGCATACTAAGTTGATAAAACGATGTAGAGTGTGAAGTTGAGTTGAGAATGCTTATGCCATACAGTTTATGTATCTTATAATAGCCTTAATCACACTTCCAGTAATTTTCCCCATCATTGGGTGCTAAAAAATAAAATTAAAGAATTAGAATAAAAAATATATATACCTCTTTGAGTGGAAGAATGCTGTCAGCACATTTTGTTATTTTATTCCATTGTATAAAGTCTCCGTAGTGCTCTCTTCATAAATGTATTGAAGGTTTGGCTAAATTGTATCAAATTTGTGATTAAATACAAATGTGAATAGTATAAAACATTACAAAGGGCAATCTGAATACTATGCTATACCAATTTTACAATTTTACAGTGACTTACAGATGCCATAAATATTTACTTTAAGGGAGTAAAATAAGTTATAAAGTCATATTTAAGAACACCTAAATCCTTGAATAAATTTAAAATGGTATTATTATTTACGTATGAAGTCAGCTGACTATTGAAAGCTTATTTTTCAATAACAGAAATATATGCATTATCTAAAACACATATTCCAATATTTTCAAGAAACAAAATACTGAATTAAATTATCTGTATTTAAATGTTTATTTTGCTTATAAAGGTCCATGAAAATGCTTAAAATTGGTTTATTTGATCTAAAAAGTTAATATGCAATTTTTATTTTTAATGTATCATTTTTCCCATGTATTGTTTTCTAAATAACACTTTCATCCTAAGTAGATCACTGAAGAAACAAAATGCTGTTTTCTTTATGAACTCGTAATACATTTCACTAATAATTAGGATGCTGTTCAAGGTGTTGAAGTGTACAATATAACAAATTGCATTTGCAGTTGAATAGTAGCAGAGTAGAAGCTGAAAAAATAAATCATGTATAAAAGTAGCTTAAAACAGATGATAGCAGAGCAAAGAGTTTCCTGCCAACGCCCTCTAAAAATCGGTCCTTTTAGGCTTTTGTGCTGGTATTAGGTTTCAGTTATAGACAAGACATATATATATGTGACCTTTCCTTTCCTTTTCTATACCCTGGAGTCAAAGTCTCCTATAAAAGGACATTTGCAGCAAGTATTTTCAGCTGGAGTAGGAGGAAAGGGCAGGAGTAGGAGAGCAGTATGATCACCTCTTGCCAATGCAATTTCACTTGATTTGCAACTGGTGTTTAGTAAAGAATTTTGCTATGCAAAAATAGTGTCTTAATTGGATTATTGTAAGACAAAGTATGCATTTTTCATGTCGTATTAGTATTTTATTAATAAGGCTAGGGAAACCCACTAAATCCCTATACTAAAGTGAATTTGATTCTCCCATAGAAACTTAAATCCTCAGTGTGACACAACTCAGTCCTTCTACTGCAGCAGCTCTTTTATAAAAGCCTCCCAAAGCTCCAAGAAGGAACAAAGAATGTGACCCAGTAAGCTCACACCATAAATCTATATTGCAGAAACCTTTGTTCAAGAAAACGGCAGATGCTCTGTTGAATCCACTGGAGATTGTTCTGATACTAAGGACAAGTATGTAAGTTAATGATTTTATTTATCTTAACATTTTAAAATGTTTTCCTTTGGGGAATTCCAATTTATATATCAATATTCAGGTAATATTTGCTGAAAACACAAACAGAGTCAAAATGATCTGCATTCACATTCTCATTTTCTATTATAACATAGAGACAACTACTTTATTATCTTTTTAGAAACTTTTGCAACTACTTTAGTTTCTTCCTAATTTTATAAATTAATCTATCTCAAAAAACTTTGCCCAAAAGACTTAGTAATAGCTGTCAACTTCAGAAAAACTAAAACTTTAAAGATGACTTTTAGAAGGAAAATGAAATACAGAAATAATGTATCTCATTTGCACTTAATTAAAAATAATATGAATTGTCACTATTTCCTATGAAAACATCTCATGCCAATTTCTTTTATTAAGCTTGGATTTAAAAGATAATTTAGTTGAAACTGGTAGAATCTTAGTAAAATTATAACAAGAAATTTTTATATTATACATATAATATAGAATAATCATATTTAATTCCACTTGTTAGTCTATTCTGATTCTTTAGCAGGTTGATTCATAATTTGCCAACTTGGGTCAGAAATATTTTCTATTCTTAGCTTTTGCTGTCAGCAGAGATAATAATAATATAGAACCTGAACAACAAAGGATTGTGTATTGTTTCAATTTAATTAAAGTTGATTCCCTGCTTTAAGAGAGACTCACATTTTATATTTTATTTTTTTTATTAAAAAGAGAATGTAGATATTTGCTTTTCCAAATTTCCCATAAGATAAGAAAAACATATTTTTTCTTAATTACACCCTTGCTAAGTCACGCTAGCTGCCTGACCTTGGACAAAATTCTTAACCTCTTTGTGTCTCATTTTCAATAACTGTGAATTAAAGATGATTATTGTAGTATATTTCTCAAGGGATTATTGTGGGAATTAAATAAAATAATCCTCTAAAATGCTTAGTACAGATTCTGGAACATCATAAGCAGAAAAAATTAATAACTATTTTTTTAACTATATTATATGACATACTTTTTCTTTATGATCTTCAGGGGAATTTCTACTTATCTTAAAAACATATATAGATATTGATCTGCGGAGAAATATATCTCTGTTATTTCAAGGTCTGTGGATTACATAATGGTCAACTCTGATTGATTTACTGATTGATTAAACAAAATTTTAAAGCAAAACTAAAAATATTGCAGCTATGTTGGTTTTAACCATTCTAAACTCTGATGAAATTTGCTTTCTGTTTGGTTTGTGACTAGGAAGCTAAACATTATTTATTAGTAATAAAAATTTCTAGTGTCTAAGGAAATTCAAGAGGAAAACCATTAGATTTATTACAATTAAATCTGTTAAGATTTAATTGCAAATATGTAGATAGTGCAAATATATCTTAGGGTACAATTTTTGTTCTCATTAAGTTACCCATTTTACATTTTGAGAACACTAATAGATGAAATACTTGTCAAAGATCTAAGATGGTTTAAAGAAAATATTAAATGAAATCAAACTTACTTGTCAAGCTCCACAGCACAACTTACAAGTCATAAATCACACTCTGTATGACAGCTACGGGAGGGATCTGGGTAGTAAAACAAAATGATGGATTTTATCTTTCCTGTTTTTGAGTTATTAAGAACTAGTTGAACTATAGAATGACGTGAAAGACTCACATCAGGGATGGGAGGTTATTTGCAGAAACTCTTGTTTTCTTTATCACATTAATGTCAATATTTGACATTTCCATATGACTAATTGTTGAACTAATTTTTGATTTCTTATGCCAACTGTTAATAATCCTCTTTTCATCCAGAAAACAATCACTTTTTGTCTATCTGTAAATTGACATTTGTTATGTTAATTTGTTTTTGCTTATTACAAGGATTACCTTTTATTTACAACAAAGCATTCACAGATTGCTGTGACAGATTTGTCTTCAATCAAATCTCATAAACATTAATTGAATTATTGAAAGGAATTTGTAAATTATTGTGTTTTTTTCTAAAATAGTAACATCAGCGTGTATATTACGTTAATTTTGTTTACAGTTTTTTGCTTCACATTAACTATATTTAACTGATTTTAACAGCCTTAGATAACTCCAAAACATCAATTACTTTACTTGGATTTATTAATTCATTCAAATATATATATATATATATATATATAAAATGAGAATCTATCATTTGCCAGGCACTGGGCTAGGCAAAGGTAAGAGTGAGTGGCAAAATCATGTTCTCCCTGTTTTCCTGTAATGTATTGTCTGGCTAAAGGCTGTGAAGGAAGAGTAATGTGAAGGAAGAGTATTCGAAGGATATAAGAAAAGGGATCACACAATTAACTGTATGTAGGCTGTTCTTAGGGAAGATTTCTTCTAGAGGTGGTACTTGGCCTTCAGTCAGAAGCATGATTTGATATTTGATGTTAACCAGGTAATTGAGGGGATAAGGTGCTTTCTCAGCAGAAAAGACATAGTAGGCAAAGTCTTTAAGATAAAAGCACAGTGAAAGCTCAAAACTAAAAGGAGGCTTGGGTGTCTGGACTCCAGAGACAGGAAGAGTTTAGAGAGTCTAGCAGAGATAGCAGAGAAGACTTTATCTTTTTTTTCTTTCTTTCTTTTTTTTTTCTGTAGCAACCATCTTTCCTGTGAAAAATTCCCTCTCGTACTTTAGTTCTGTGGATCCAAAATTTATAGCATTCTTCTACCACCACAGGGGTGAGTATATAATAAAAAATGTCAGTTATTCGAGTATGTAAGAAACTTGAAAGTCATCACTCCCATCCTTACAACAAGAAAAATGCTGAACAAACAGACTATCAACAACTCATTTTAGATCCATTAGAGGACTGAGGTCACAGAAAAACTGCTGCCCCCACCCTAAATCCCCACTAAATTAGAGAGATGGGAAAATGCAAAGAATTATAGCCTAGTGGAGCAAAAGCCCAGGAGCCCCCACAGGAGTTAGTAATGGAGTAGAAAACTTTAATATGCAGTTGATTAATTTCTGGAAGCACATTGTGGACAAGCTTGAGAGTTAACTTTGAAAAATATATAACATGATAATACTAATTAAAAGAAAGCTGGATTAATATATTAATTTCCAACAAAAAGACTTCAGAGAAAGAACAATTATAGGGGGATACAAAGGGGTATTACATAGTAACAAAGGATTTAATTTTCCAAGAAAACGTAACAATCCTTAATGTGTTTGCATGTAACAGGCTGTCAAAACACATGAGGCGAAAACAGAACTGCAAGAACAGACAGATAAATCCACTATGATAGTTGGAGGTGTTAACACCTCTCTATCAATAATGAATAGAACCAGCAGGTGGAAAATCAGTAAGGGCATAGTTCAACTGAATAGCACCAAAATCAGTGAGTCCCAGTCTCTCTTCCCGGAAGTTGATTCTTGAGCAGGGACGTCAGGAGTAGAGTGATGTCCAGGCCATATTTAATAACAAATAAATCAGAGTCTGGACATGATATGTAGGCATTCGTTTCTTTAAAAAAAAATTGTCCCAGGTGATTCCATTGTGAATCTAATGTTGAGAAGAAATATGCGCAGTGGTTTTCTTTGAATTCATTCTGCCTGAGATATCTAGAGTTGTTTTGGTTGTTGACATTGTTTTGTTTAGCAATTCATTCATTCAATTTTGTGAATTAACTTTCAAGAAATGCCTTTTCCTTGTTATAAAATTACATTGTTTTATGTTATACTTTTTAAATTGTGATAAAAGTTGCTATCTCAATGTTGGTCAAAGGAAACAATTTCAGTTGACAGGAGAAATAAGTTTCAGAGATCTATTGTATATTATGTAATAGATCTATAGTGATTGTAGTTATAGTGACTATGGAAATAGTGACTATAGTTAATAACAATAGTATATAATTTAAAATAACTTAAAAATTATTGAGAGTAGATTTTAACTATTCTACATATTATTTTCTTAGTGATATATGCATCTTCTGTCATCTTCCATGGGAAATTTGACATTGCAACCTCACCTGAGGCCATCACTTTTTCCTTGATACTACGAACCATCCTGTCATGTGTTTGTACCATATCAGTAGTGAAACTGACAGTGCTCTGATAGGGGTATACTCTTTTATCCCAATCTATATCCCAATACCCAATAGCCCAGTATTCTTAGAATCCAGTTGTATTCATACTCTCCTGGATCATTTCTGTTCCTTTGTAATATAGTCCCTTTCTTCCCTTACAGGCTCATATGACATTAACAGACAAGACACTTTTCAGAAAGACAGGTAAGTCATTTGTTAAAATCTCACTACTGTTGTTTAACAGAAACATATATATGCATGTATATGTGTGTACTGTATGGAAAAAGTGGAATTAGAGTTTATCTAGAAAAGAAAAAATTACCTCATCTAAGTGCAGAAATGAATAATACTTAAACCATACCATACAATTCTCTATCATATTTCCACAGATAAGTCAAAAATTTAAAAAATCTTATTGTTCATGCATAAATGCAGAAAACAATACCTCTAGTATATGTTTGTGTTCTATTGTACTTTCACAGAAGGTGTTTGATACTTAATACTGTGTTTATTAAGAAAAATCTTTGCAATGGTTATGGAATTAAAATTTCATGTAAAAATGATTATGTAGATCAAGAAAAGTTGCAATTTTCTGGATTCCTGATATTTTAAATAAAAGTAGTTTCCAAAGGTGATTTTTTTATTATTTTAATTTTTAATGGAAATTTTCACAATATAACCATCCTACATAATTTTATTTTTCAACTATTATTTTTGTCGACTCATTATTTATTAAGAAACAATGATTTTTAGATACTAATTTATAATTCTTATGTTATAATTAAAAATCAGAGTTCGTTGAATAAAATATCTGATTTATGACTCCTTAAGTCAACATTAAATTATTTTATTGCTATATCATGTTTTTTGATGTTCATAACTCTAGGTTTATATAGTAATTTCACTCCACTTTCTTTTTTTTTTTTTCTTTTTTTTGAGACGGAGTCTCCCTCTGTGGCCCAGGCTGGAGTGCAGTGGTGCGATGTCGGGCTCACTGCAAGCTCTGCCTCCTGGGTTCACGCCATTCTCCTGCCTCAGCCTCCCGAGTACCTGGGACTACAGGCGCCCGCCACCGTGCCCGGCTAATTTTTTGTATTTTTAGTAGAGATGGGGTTTCACCGTGTTAGCCAGTATGGTCTCGATCTCCTGACCTTGTGATCCGCCCGCCTCGGCCTCCCAAAGTGCTGGGATTACAGGCGTGAGCCACCGCACCCGGCCAACTTCACTCCACTTTCATTGGGGGGAGATTTGCAGTTAATTCCAATTTGAATAATATCTTTGTAACTAAATTTATCACGAAGCTCAACATGACAATTTAGTATAGTTAATCTCCATTTCGTTTTACTTTTGCACAACTTCCAGTGAAGTGATCCTCTGAGATTAGGACTAGTTGAAATCGTAGGGCAAATATATAAATTGTTTAGAAGGAAGCCTTAAGATGCTTTAACTCATGCAATGAATTTGAACATAGAAATGAGAGGAAAGCTTGGATAATTTTATAATGAAAGGCTAAGCATGTTTTCCCCTCAAGAGGAAAAATTTAAATTTCAAACTGAATATTACTCAAACATTAATCATTTAACTGTATAGCATGGGACATTTTGGGCATGGCAAATTCTAATGGAGGAGACTGCTAGAAATTCTCAGCCACACAGAAATCTGACTGCTTAATTTTGAAAGCTACAGAGCTGTTACTAAATTTTTTTATCTTGTTTTTACATGTAACTCAGAAACTACTCTGAAAAACTCTCTTAATTCTTTTTACGGCCGGGTGCGGTGGCTGGAGCCTGTAATCCAAGCACTTTGGGAGGCCGAGGTGGGTGGATCACCTGAGATCTGGAGTTCGAGACCAGCCTGGCCAACAAGGTGAAACCCCACCTCTATTAAAAATACAAAAATTAGCTGGGTGTGGTGGCACACACCTGTACTCCCAGCTACTTGAGAGGTTGAGGCAGGAGAATCGCTTGAACTCGGGAGACGGAGGTTGCAGTGAGCCAATATTGCGCCATTGCACTCCAGCCTGGGCAACAAGAGCGAAATTCCATCTCAAAAAATAAAAAAATAAATAAATAAATAAATAAAAATAAAAAAAACAAATAGTTTTTACTTTATTTCTCCCAAAATATGTCAAAAATGGCATAATGGCACACTTGCTTTTTCTGTAGTCAAAACCATTTTGTAAAAAAACTTGAAATGTACAGTGTAGAATCCAAGGGCAGAAAATAAAGGCTGAACATAGAACTAAGAACCTGTCCAAAATCAACGCAGTGGCTTTTTATCAATTTCTCTCACTCCAGGGCAACATTTATTTTCTTACTCTCGTACTCTTTGTATCTCCATTGCTTGCCTGTGGATCAATAATATTATTCTTTATAACATTATGGAGGCTATATGGCTTTGTGCATCCGGTATGCATCATTATTATATCCTTCATCTCAATTAGAATTCTCAAGTGAAGGAGGCTTATTGATTTCCAACCAATAAATGGATAACTTCCACCTAAATCAAGCGTTCATTCATTGTCCAATCCACTGGACCAGGTGGGCTTGAATCATACATGGAAGTAAACTTCCTAACATGCTGAATGGGTTGGCTCTCATAGAAGGTATTCTTGAGTGGGCAGTTTTCCTTACAAAACATAGTATACTAAGACTGTGGTATTCAGACAGCTCTTCAATCTTCAAGGGAACTGTGGAAGTAAACCAGGGGTGACATGGATTATCAAATATTGTGGATCAGGTGAGCTCTAGGCTTCTCAATGCAAGGTAATTACCCTGCACTTTCATCTATTTTATAATATTGCCTTTATTTTTTTCCATGAAAGAGTAAGGTTTGGAAAAACAAGAAAAACACGGTTAAAATTATTTCTCTAGTGAATTGGTTGTGTTTATAAATCTTTAGCTTAGCTTGAGTCCCCCTTTGTGAAATGTATAAATCCTTTTGATACATTAACAAACACTTGGAAAATGACTTAACTTATTAAGTTGAATTCTCTAATATAAGGGTTATAAGTGAAGGCTTAATTATTCAGCATTACTGAATTCAATATATCTGCCCTTTCAGTTTGCCTAGGGTGACAAATACCTTTCCCATTACAGCTTGCCAATGTAACACAGCCTTATTTCATTTTTGTTGTAAATAGAATCACATTCTAATATGTTTTAGCTGAAAACAGCAAAGTATATATTCAACTACTTCCCAATAGGGAAAATTTTTAAAAAAAGTTATTTCTTTAGCCCAGAGCTTTATTTTCCTTTTACATAACAGAAAAATACTTGGTGTGAAATAAAACCTTCTTACACGTAATGAGACCCCATAGAATTTTAATGAAAGACAATTGAAGACCCATTTTTAAATAAGCCATTGGGAAGAATTAATATAATTAAGAATAGAAAAAAACTAGATAAAGTTACAAGAACAACCTAGGAACATTTCTATATTTCTTCCTCATTTTCTGGAGTTTTAAAAGATGTTGAAACATTTTGACAGCTATAGAAAATGACCTAGGGACAAATATACTCTCTATTCCTGACATAAAATGATATGCTTATTGTGTTTCTCATAAAACTCAGCATAAAACTATATACCTAATAGTTATTTAAAAGGAGTTCCTAAAAATAAATATATTCATTATTAATATGTGACATGACTGAGTTACTTTTGAAAAACTACAAATTATTCAACATACTTTAACATAGGATTTAGTATCAATATGGTATCCATTTCTTGATTCTGTTTTTCATAGTGCACTTAAATATATATGTTAATACTTTTGAATAAGTGCATTATGCTATGAAATGTTTTAATGAGAAAAATGAATCTATACAAAGCAACTTCATTTATATTTTGTTCCTGTCATGTTACATTGCTGATATTTTGTATTATACTAGACATGACTCATTTTTAAATACATAATTGTATATGAAGTTCTCAATGTTAATGTCTGGAGGATACAGAATCAAAACAGAAGAAAAGTTAAAAAATTAAAAGTAAACTATATTTTGCATATGAATAAGAATATTACAAATACCATATTTATATACTATGTTTATGTATCTTTACACTATGCCAAAAGGTATATATGGCATATATGCATATATACCTTTTTTATGCAGAGAAATAATATCTCTGCATAAGCATAAAGTCAAGATACATAATATTTTAAAATGTTTTTCATTGAAGTGTAATTGACATAAACTGAACATATCCAGTGTATTTTTAAAGTTTTGGCATATTGGTACACGAGAAAACACCATGGCAATCAAGATCATGAACATATTCACTTCCCTAAAGTTATTTTGTGTCTTTAGTAATCGCTTCTTCCCCTCTTCCCTACTCAATCTCCATGCAACTACTAATCTATTTCTGATACTACAGAATGGTTTACACTTGGTAGAATTTTATGTAAATGGAGTCACACAAAATCTATTCTTTTTTGTCTGTCTTTTGCACTCAACATAACTACTCTGACTTTCGCCTATGTTGATACTGGTAGCAATAGTTCATTCTTTTTTTAATTAATAGATTTTATTTTTAGAACAATTTTAGGTTTATAGTAGAAACTAACAAAGCAGAGAGAATTTCCATACACTTTCTTCTACTCTCCATATTCTTTATGATTAATATCTTGAATTAGTGTGGTACATTCGTTATAATTGATGCATCAATATTGACATATTATTATAAATGAAAGTCCATACATTAGTTTTATATTAGGGTTCACTCTTGACATTATACATTTCATGCGTTTGGACAAATGCATATGTCATGTAACCACTACTACAATATTATAAGAATAGTTTTACTTTCTTAAAAATTTCTGTGCTTGATTTATTCGTCCCTTCCCTTGGAGACTACTGGAAATTCTGATCTTTTTACAGTTTTTCCCTTTTTAAGAATGTTGTGTCATTGGAATTATACAGTATACAGCCTTTTCAGATTAGCTTCTTTCACTAAGTTGTATGCATTTTAGGTTCTTGCATGTTTTGTATGGTTTGATAGCTTATTTTTTAATCACTGAATATCCCATTTTATAGGTATGCCAGTTTATTGAACCATTACTCACCTGTTGGGGGCATCTGGTAGCTACCAAGTTTTGTTATGAGAAAAGCTATTTTAAGGAGTCCTGTGACTCATTTGGATAGGAGTGAAGTTTTTTTGACTCATTTGGATAGGAGTGAAATATTTTTGACTCATTTGGATAGGAGTGAAGTTACTGGTCCATGTGGTAAGACTACATTTAACTTTGTAAGAAACTGCAAAGCTATCTTCTAACGTGGCTGTGCCATTTTGCATTCCCACAAGCAATAAATGAGAGTTTCCCTTGCTCTTTATCTTCAACACAATTTAGTGTTTTCAGTGTTCTGGATTTTAGCCATTTTAGTAGGCATGCGGTGGTATCTCGTTCGAATGAGCGATTCTCTAATAATACATGATGTTGAGCATATTTCATTCGCTTATTTGCCATCAATATATTTTCCTCAGTGAAATGTCTGTTCAGATCTCCTGCCCATTTTTTAACTGGATTATTTATCTTTTTTTTTTCTTTTTGAGTTTTAAGAGTTCTGTGGCGTGCTCATACCAGTTCTTTATTGGATACATGTTTTGTAAATATTGTCTCCCAGTCTTGGCTTGTTTTTTAAATATTAACTATGACTTTCTTAGAGCAGAAGTTTTAATTTTTATTAAATTCAACTTATAACATTCTTCTATAGTCTCACATTTTTATATTTAAATCTATTATCCATTCTTGTACATTGTGTAAACACAGTGTCTAGATTCTTTTTTTTGGATGTGGATGTCCAACTGTTCTAGCACCGTTTGTTGAAAATACGGTTTGTGTGTGTGTGTGTGTGTGTGTGTGTGTGTGTGTGTGTGTGGTTATATCTCATATTATGAGTATACCGTGTTTGGTTTATTTATTCACCCATTGATAAACTTTGGGTTGTTTACAGTTTAGTGTTAGTATAAATAAGTTTGTCATGGCCACTTGCAAACACATTCTTGTATGTATATATGCTGTACTGTTTTCTGCTTAAAGAGCAACAGTAGAATAAGTAGGTAAAATGATGGGGGTCTATTTAACTTTGTAAGAAACAGTCCATTTTTTTTTCCCAGAGTGGCTGTATCATTTTACTTTCCTACCATCAGTATTTGAGAATTACAGTTGTTCTAAATCATCACCAACACACAAGATGATGAGTATTTTTAATTGTATTTATTCTAGTAGGTGTGGAATGGCATCTCATTTAATTTGTATTTCTCTAATGGCTAAAGATATTGAACATCTTTTGATGTGATTATTTGCTGTCTCTGAATTTCCTCTGGCAAAGTATGTGTAGGTGTGGAATGGCATCTCATTTAATTTGTATTTCTCTAATGGCTAAAGATATTGAACATCTTTTGATGTGATTATTTGCTGTCTCTGAATTTCCTCTGGCAAAGTATGTGTTCAAGTATATTCTTTTCCTTATTGTTTATTGTTGGTCTGTAATTTTCCTTATAATTGAGTTTACATATTTTGGATACACATTCTTTATCAGATATAATTTGGAAATGTCTATTCCTAGTTTGAAGCATATAGGGTAGAAATATAGAATTTTTTGTTTTTATGAAGTCATATCTATTGTTGTTGTAACTGGTTTTTTTGTTTGTTCTCTAGGTTGTTCTTTTGGGCCACATCTAAGAAATCTTTGTCTAGCCAAAAGCCACAAATAATTTCTCATTTTTTGGCTTCTGGAAGATGTACAGTTAAATGTTATATTTGGGACTGTTATCTAATTTGATTAAATTGCACTCTACAATATGATATTTGAATTGATGAAAAATTAGTAAATGTTAATATTTTTTAAAGTAGCCAAATCTTGCAATTTATATATAATAGAGAAGACTAGAAAATCCCCCATATTTATTTCCTCTTACTTCGTACTACTAAAATTTGTATTTAGGCATTTGGTTTCTCAGATAAACATTACATTCCCCAGTATATGGTTCTATCTGGCTTGGTGACGACATGTTGAACATTAAGATGTGAGCAGAAGTAATACATACACACTCTTTTTCATGTCTTTAATTGAATGGGATATTGGCCCATTTTTTCTTCCAGTTTATTACACTGAATATTGACATGTTATTTTCCAATATTGAGACAATCAATGACAAGACTTTAAGAGTAACAATGTAAAAATACAGAAGTTGTCTGAGTTTATCAACAATCCCCTGGATTAGAACCCCCTACCAGTTCTAGGTCATCTAATATATAGACATTGTGTTCAGTAGAAATAAATATATATATTTTTTATTATGCTTTAAGTTCTAGGATACATGTGCACAACATGCAGGTTTGTTACATTGGTATACACGTGCCATGTTGGTTTGCTGCACCCATTAACTCATCATTTACATTAGGTATTTCTCCTAATGCTATCCCTCCCCCTGCCCCCACCCCCCGACAGGCCCTGGGGTGTGATTTTCCCCACCCTGTGTCCAAGTGTTCTCATTGCTCAATTCCCACCTATGGGAATACATTTTTAAATCATTTTTGAAGGTGTTATTACATTCTGATTGAACATTTTCAGAAAGAATAAATCATTTAATACAAGAAGTGGGCCACTTCATGTAACAAAACAAACCACCACTACAGCAACAACAACAAAAAACACAAATGAATGTGACTTTAGCTTTGCAACATCGTGACAGACTAGCAAGTTAATGACATTTGTTATGCCATAGAAAATATTTGTTGAATTGCCACTCTAATGACTTTATATCAGCCAACTCATTATCAACACTAGAAAAGATGATTAAAAAATACTTCAGTACGTTCACGTGTTGGCTTGTTAACATTTTTAAGAGTCTATAAGAGAAAAATGCATCCAATCTCGACAAAAATATTTTTCAAGTATCTTGTAGGTACGTACAACTAACTACCTTGTGAACAAAAGTCACTATATAATTATATAATTTCTGACACTTAAAAAAGATTATTGTGCAAAAGAAGATATATGTTCTAATACCAAATCCACATATAAAATAATTGACTTATTTAAATAATTTAAGATGCTCTTTTATATATTTATATTAAAAACTTTACAGAGAATAAAAAAAGCATTATACAGGCTACTTATGGTTTTTGATGTTTGGATATACAATACATGTATCAAAGATGGTGGACATAAATCAAGCAATATATTCAATTGGACTTAATTGCATTATTACATGCCAAGTGTCGTATACCATCTATTTGCACATAACACTTTTTAATTTAGGTAAAATTATTAATCATAAAGCTATATGAATTTATTTTATTCCATGTTATTTTATTATTCCATGTTATTATTTATGTATTGTTAGGAACATTTGCTTAGAAATCATATTTGGACATAGTATCAGATACTTTACATCCTTTGAATCAGTTATTTTATAACAGTATATACTAAACATCATTACTCCTTTTCAAACATAAATAATGCAATACAAATTGGACAAAAAATTCAGGAAAGATCTGGGATCAAAAAGGAGGTATTGAAACATCACATGTACTCCATAATTATATACAAATATTTTGTACCCATAATATTTAAAATACAGAAAATTAAAAGGTACATTTTCCTCAAAGTGCATGCTGCTTTTGCTATGCAAAACTGCAGGATATGGAAAGAAGTGTATTAAAACACTAAATCACTTTATGTGGAAGATAAAAGGGATGGTATCCAATGTACGACTTCATGTAGTGCACTGATACATTCAATACAAATGATGTATTAACTTCAAGATAACATGAGAAAGTTAAATTATCTAACTTATTTCAAACTAGGGGATAGTATGTTCTCATTATTAGAAGCCAGAATTCTGCTTATCCATTTCTATTATTAGAAAAAAACATAATTTTTATTCTTGTCTTAAAAATAGACACCTTGATATAATTCTCTGTAAATGTAGCATGATAGTCTGTTTACAGAGTTTATATCATTCCAAGACTGCACTTCTAAAGTGAGAAAATATTAAAGGATATAAACTCACTCCTCTCTACAAAATTCCTTATTTTTTATGCAATGGCTTTAAAATGTATGGAAGGGGAGTTATGGAAACAATCCATACCTGGAAAGCATTCTATCTATGCCTTTGAAATGGTTATCTAGTACTAGATTCTTATCAGTGCCTAGCTATGTAATGTGTGTAGCTTAAGATTTTTAAGAAAGAAGGATAAAATGCTCAATATAAATTTAAAAAGCACTTTTATTGGAATATTGAATCATATATTTGCTTTCTGTAAGTCCTTTTATCTATAAAATAATAGTTGAGAAAGGCAAATAGAATATGTGGAGGAATTAAAAATTCAGTTGTAGGGTGGTAAATGAAAACCAAATTTTTCATTCACCACATTAAATGTAAATGGGTATTATACTCAATTTAAGCAGCAAAGTTGCTTCTTTTTTTTTTTTTTTTTTGAGACAGTCTCATACTGCCGCCCAGGCTGGAGTACAATGTTGCCATCTCGCTTCACTGCAACCCCTGCCTGCTAGGTTCAAGCCATTCTCCTGCCGCAGCCTCCCATGTAGCTTCTTAAGATGTGAAGATTTTTAAATTAAGATGACTCTTGGGATGAACCATTTGGTGTTGGTTAAAGACTTTTACTGACATATTTTTAATAATCTTTTTAACTTTTATTTTCAGGTCAATGGCACATGCGTAGGTTTGTTATGTAGGTAAACTAGTGTCACAGGGATTTGTTGTGCAGATTATTTCACCACCCAGCTATTAAGCCTAGTACCCATTAATTGTTTTTCCTGATCTTCTGCTTCCTCCCACCATCCACCCTCCCAGAGGCCCCAGTGTCTGTTGTTTCCCTCTATGTGTTCATGTGTTCTCATAATTTAGCTCCCATTTGTAAATGAGAACATGCAGTATTTGGTTTTCTGTTCCTGCCTTAGTTTGTTAAGGATAAAGACCTCCATCCAGCTCCATCCATGTTCCTGCAAAGGACTTGATCTCACTCTCTTTTATGGCTGCCTAACATTCCATGGTGTATATGAACCACAAAATAAAGATGGTTCTTAACTTTTAAATTAAGATTTTTAAATTAAGATGAATCTTGATTTTTAAATTAGTATGGTTTTAAGATAGTTTTACAGATAGATTAGATAATCTATCTAGAGATAGATAGGGAGAGATATCTATCAATACATATCTCTATCTAGATATAGATAGATGGTTTTCTATATAGACCTATCTATCTATATATGTATACATCTATATATGTCTACACATATCTCTATACACATATATATATATTTATATCTACATCTATATTTCTACATGTATATAGGTATGTATATATCTACATGTATATATGTATATAGATAGATATATACATAGGTATCTGTATATATGCATATACATGCCTATCTATCTTTATCTACATGTATTACATAGATAGGGTAATTACTGATAAATCCTTTGGCCTTCTTTGTAAATCTCTGGGCTAAAGACCCCTCCAGTATTATACATGTTCTGGTCTAGATTGCTCACTCACCAGTTCTCCTCACTATCTAGAGAAGATCCACTTAGCAGGCCTCCCCTTAAAGAAGGGCACCTTAACTGGACTCACTCCTCCCATAGTAGACTGCACAGTACACAAGCAGAAGAGGAGAGCTCAATAATAAAGTCACCATAAAGGATAATTTTTAAATGAATAAAGAAATCAGAAAATCCAGTATTGGCTAGCACATATGGCTATCAGCAAGCTCACCCTACAAAAAAATAGTGAGAAAACAGTTCGAATATTGGCCGTTTGGGGCACATATTCTATAAAAAGGAAAAGTTTTGAAATGTATATATATTTAATTTAACTCTAAAATATTTGTAAGGCAAGCCCAGTGGCTCACACCTATAATTTCAGAACTTTGGGAGGCCAGGGCAGGAGGATCGCTTGAGGCCAGGAGACCAGCCTGGGCAACATGGCAAGACCCCATATCTACAGATGGTTTTAAAAAATTAGCCAGGTATAACACGATGAAACCCCGTCTCTACTAAAAATATAAAAATTAGCCGGGCATGGTGGTGGGCGCCTGTAGTCCCAGCTACTCGGGAGGCTGAGGCAGGAGAATGGCATGAACCCGGGAGGCAGAGCTTGCAGTGAGCCAAGATCATGCCACTGCACTCCAGCCTGGGCAACAGAGCGGAGACTCCATCTCAAAAAAAAAAAAAAGAAAATTAGCCAGGTATGGTGGCACACACTTGTGGTCCCGTCTATTTAGGAGGTTGGGGCAGGAGAATTGCTTGAGCCCAGGAGTTTGAGGCTGCAGTGAGCTATGATCATGCCACTGCACTCTAGCCTGGGTGATAGAACAAGACCCTGTCTCTTAAAAAAAAAAAAAAATTGTATTATGCACCAGGTACAATGTGCTAGGTACTGGGGAGAGATCTTAAAAAAATGTATTATACACCAGGTACAATGTGCTAGGTGCTGGGGAGAGATCAGGGGATAAAGCAGACCAAAATTTCTGTCCTCATGGAGCTTGTGGTCTAAAGGAGGAAAAAAGGCAATAAACAAATTAAAAAAGAGGAATACAAAGTATGTGGGTAGGGATGAGTACAACAGAGGAAAATCAAGCAGGAAAGATAGAACTCTGGAAAGAAGTAGGGCCAGTGTCAAACAGGATGGCCAGGGAAGGCCACACTGAGAAGGTGACACCAAAGCAAAGACCTACAGGAGGTGAAGTGGTGAGCCATTCAGGTCACTAAAGGAGGCATGTTCCCAGGAGAGGGGACGACAATGCAAAGGCAAGAAGGAGCACCAGCGTGTGTGTTGAGAAAAGCATGGGGACCCAAGCAGCTAAAGTGGAACACATGTAAGAAGAATAACCGTAATGAGGTCTGAGAGACAACTGGGTGGGAAGTGTCTTAATCTGTTTGTGTTACTATAAAGGAATATCTGAGTCTGGGTAATTTATAAAGAAAAGGAGGTTTGTTTAGGTCACAATTCTATAGGCTGTACAAAAATCAGCACCAGTATCTACATCAGGTAAAGGCTGGAGGTTGCTTCCACTCATGGCAAAAGGGGAAGGGGAGCCAGTGTGTGCAGAGATCACAGGGTGAGAGAGGA
This sequence comes from Homo sapiens, assembly GCF_000001405.40. NCBI lineage: Eukaryota > Metazoa > Chordata > Mammalia > Primates > Hominidae > Homo > Homo sapiens. The sequence goes on along the minus strand of NC_000010.11, from coordinate 79,792,582 downwards.
AGCAAGAGAGAGAGGGAAGCACCGGGCTCTTTTAAAAAACCAGCTCTTGGGAAAACTAATAGAGAACTCACTCACTACTCTCACCATGGCAGGGCATTAATCTATTTATGAGGGATCCATCCTTATGATCCAAACACCTCCCACTAAACCCGACTTCCAACACTGGGGATCAGATTTCAACATGAGATTTGAAGCGGACAAATATCTAAACTACAGCAAAGAGTACAGATCGGGAGGCATGGCAAGCTCTGCTGGTCACTCCAATGGAGTCAACATTTCAAGAATGTTACAAGCAGCTGGGTTGGTGGCTGATGCCTATAATCCCAGCACTTTAAAAGGCTGAAGTAGAAGGATCACTTGAGGCCAGGAATTCAAGACCAGCCTGGGCAACATAAAGAGACCCTGTCTCTACCAACAATTTAAAAAAAAAAAAAAAAAAAAAAAAAGCCAGGCATGGCAGCGAGCACCTGTTGTCCTAGGTTCTCAGGAGCCTGAGGCAGGAAGATTACTTGAGCCCAGGGGGTTGAGGCTGCAGTGGGCCACAACTGCCCCACTGCACTACAGCCTGAACAACAAAGTGAGATCCTGTCTCTTAAAAAAATTAAGAAAGAAAGAAAAGAAAACAGTATTAAACCAGTTTTCTAGCAGCACATAGGGGAAGAGTCTGTTGTCCTCCCAGATCTCTGGCCAAGGCCCTGGCAGAGGCAAGAATTACAAAGACCCTAACCTGTTGTTTCCTAGCTCCCCAGAGACACTAGGGAAAGCTATCTCAAGGGCAAACACATGTTGACTGGTCTCAAGGAGTAAGGGGTTATTGTTCCCTCCCCTGGAGAGAGTGCAATCAAGGGGAGTTGGACAACCCATCTTTGCTCTACTTGCTGCTTCCTTTTTTCACCAACTATAAGTCCTTTGGGTTCTGTATAACCAGATCCCTGATTCCTCTAGCCAAAATTGGTTTCATTTTGACCAGAGACTGGTTACAACACACCTTTCTACCACCACCTCTATTAGAAGATTTAACTCTTTGTTTCTCTAATAATCTCTTTTCATACTTAATTGTGAGCCCCTTAAGAGACACATCTTACTACTTATTGTGTTTTCTGTGCCTAAGTATTCTGTGTAATACTTACAACTTACTGCATCTTCTGATGCAAAAAAAAAAGTTTAAAAGGAAATGGATTGTCATCTGCTGAATCAGGCTAAGGGTAGGTCCTGGAAGATACTCCTTCCAAACCTTATAATCAGAGGTGACTGCACAGTTGGCTTACAAGAGCCTCTTTTCAAAGTAATTGGGGATGCAGTGCTTAGAACTGGGCTGGCATTGTAATTTTTTTAGGAATCTGCTCCCATTTACAAGACGTTCCATCATAAAAATCAAATCATAAAATCAAATCCAAGTATGTTCATTTGGTATATTCATTTTCCACTTCTTACTAGGGGTGGTGGGGGAGGAGAAGCTGGTACAGGAGAAATGTCTTTTATTTCCCCTCTATAACAATGGTATAATTCCAAATCTTATAGACCATCACACAGTTCTGTTAGTTGATTGTTTTCCGTGGATTCTACCCTGCCAGGAGACACAATAAATAACTTTTTGAAACTTCATTCTTCAGTCCTGGGAGTTTTTACAAATAAAAGGACACACATGTTGAGACAAATTACATGCTTGAAAATCTGTCACTAACATCAATTTCATGTTAAAAAGTACTAAGCAACTATTACAGTGGCATTTCTTTTGTTGTTGGGGAAAATAATGTGAATAGCTATGCTAATTCAGAGATAATTTTCAAATTTCGTGACTAAATAAAAAAGCTAAGAGTAGTTCACTAGGTAATGTTTGGGAGGGAGTTGTTGGTTTTGTTGATTTATTATATCTTGACTGGTATGATTGAAATGAATTAAATGTTAGACGTGCTTAACATTTTATATGCTATATATCATCATAATAGCAAAGTGCACAGATCACATTATTGAGTGCCTTTGGATTTTAAAAATAAAGATTGCTATTCAGATGAATACCATTTCATTATTGCCTGCACTACTCTGTCAAATTAAAAAATATAATAGCTATCTTTATTCTCGTTTTAAAGCATGATAATCATCAAAATGTTGAAGTTTATCACAGTTCTACATTAAAAATAAGTCATTTTTGTAGATGAGTTATCCAATACAGCAAAGGCCATCAAAGAGAAAGCCAATACTTTCATGGAGAGCTCAGAGCCTTAATAGATCCCAGCAGCAATGCTTCAACCATTCCCAACTCCATGTTCCTTGCTAGATGCTCCTCACCCCAAACTCCTGCAAATTTCAAGAATTTCTGTGTATGTGTGTGTTAAGGGAGGAGTTTTAAAGTATCTCTGTATTCAACAAGATACGTCAGCTTGTAAGCAGCAGAAACCTACTTAAACTAGCTTACATGAGAAAATAACATTATAAAGACATAGGAGTGTTTCTACACCAAGAGCTGGAGGTATTGTTTGGTTTCATGAAGGATTAAAATCTGTAATTCAAAAGTAGACTCAGGCAGCTGCACATCAATCTGTGTCTTTCTCTCTGGTACTGTGGACTCTATCCTGTCTGACTTGCTTTGTTCCTGGGCATCATTCTTGCTCTGGAAAACACACTTTCCCTGCTCATTTTTTTATTTTAATGCTTAGGTTCAATCTGCTCATTTTTCCCTACAGCAGAAGACAGCTTACTGTGTTCCAGCAAACAACAGAGCCTGACCAGCCTCTCTGAATATGGGGCCCCCTTCTCACTCACAAGTATTCTTAACCTGGGGTCCATGTGGGGTTTGTGAATTTGGATAGGATTTTAAAATTACATTTTCATTTCCACTAATCTCTAACCGAAATTCAGTCTTTTCTTCAACTGTGAATGTAGGCAGCAAGCCACAGTGGAACTTGCCGAACCTATAAATTTGTCACTGTGATTGATGTTATAATGTTACACCTAGATCTTCTTTCAGAAATGAGGACTTACCCCAGCTACTATGAAAGCTGTTGGCAGAGTGCCCTCAGCTGGCAGCCCCAGGGAAATGGCCTCAGTTGCAGAGAGCCACCTCAGCTGGGTAATAAACACCTGGCCCTCTTTGATTCAGGGCACTTCTGAAGGGTCATATAATCTTCAGACCTTCTGTAAGGTTGGCTGAAGCTTCCTCTCAGACTTCATCACAGCTCAATGTCATCCTTCTCTGACCAGTTCCACCTTGCCTTCCCTCATGTTGATGTCAAGAGCGTTCCCTAGCAAACTCCCCAAATGCCAATCTCCAGCTTAGATTCTGCTTTCTGGGGAAACTGAACTGTGACAGTTACTAATACAAAGAATCAATATTTTTATGTCACATTATACTTAGATAGCTTGAAATATATATGCTCATCCCCACCTCAATATTTCAGCCTTCTGGATCTAGTTACTTAATACATTATTAAAAAACTTTTTACTATATCAAAAATTACTTTTTAAACGTTTTAGTAACTGTATTTCAAGATAATTTTCTGTGTTATCCTATGCCTTTTATTTTATGCATCTTAAAACATCATTCTGAGAAGGAGCCTATAGGCTTTATCACTGCCAAAGGAGTCCATGGCAAAAAAAAAAAAAAAAAAAAAAGTTGGAGGAGTCAAGAACCCCTGGGAACTATCTCAGGAGATCTTGGTTTTTTGCAGGGCTTTCAGCACCATCCATTTTCCAGCGGCTCCTTAATCGATGTCACTCCTTCCCCATTGCTCCAGTGCTACTCAGCTGAACTCACCAATTGCTCTTAACTGATCTTTTACATCACCGTTCATTGCTCCCATCCATTTTCCCTACAGACACCAGAATGGTTTAAATATATATACATATATATATATGCAGAGCATGATAGCTCATGCCTGTAACCCCAACACTTTGGGAGGCCAAGGAGGGAGAATCACTTGGGGTCAGGAGTTCGAGGCCAGCCTGGTGAAACCCCCATCTCTACTAAAAATACAAAAATTAACCAGGCATGGTGGCATGCACCTGTAATTCCAGCTACTTGGGAGGCTGAGGCGTGAGAATTGCTTGAACCCAGGAGGCAGAGGCTGCAGTGAGCTGAGATCACACCAGTGCACTCCAGCCTGGGTGATGGAGTGAGACTCTGTCTCAAAACAGAACAAAACAAATATATATATATATATATGCACACACACACGTATACACACACACACACACACACACACACACATATATATATATACACACACACACACACACACACACAGAATAAATATGCCTGGAGTTAATTCTAAAATAATAGTTAACATTCCCCAGATTTTTACTATGAGCCAAACTCTCTGCTATTATTGCATTAATATATTTAACAGGCCTATGAGGTATGTACTGTCATTATCACTATTCCATACATGTGAAAACTAAAGATTATAGAAGAAAAATCACTTTTCTAAAATCACATACCTAATAGTAAGTGGCAGAATTGAACTGGTAATCTCAGAGCCAAAGCTCACTCTTTATCTTTTTGAAAAATAACTTTTTATTTTAAAAAATTTCAAACATACCCCAAAAACACAAGGAGATGTATAACAAATTCCCATGTACTTATCACCCAGTCTTAGCAACTTTCAATATTTTGACAGTTTTATTTTATCTGTTATCATTTCCCTTGGCACTCCCACATTTTCTTTCTTTATATCTGGAATATTTATTAAAGCAAACTCCAGACATCACAGAATTTCACCCAATACAATAGTAGAACCATTAGAGCCCAGTAGAATACTTCAGTAGAATAATGCTTTAAAAATGTTTCTCTAGTCATGCCATTCCCTGTTTCAAATACTTTAGCACATTCCTATTCTACTTAGGATAAATCCTCCACAGGACCTGTAGACTTCTGAGTCACATGGCCCAGGCCTCCCTTCCAAACACCATTTGATGACCCTCTGCCTTGCTCAAGAAAACACTGGGCCTACTGACCTTCTCTTAATACTGGTAACTCCTTATCACTGAGTCAGGACCTTCTTTTCTTAAGCCCAGGAGACTTTTTCTTCCACTCATTCTCCTGTGTAAATGTCCTCTCCTTAGAGACATCATCCTATGTTGATTCAGATTCCAAGTTCTCTCCAGTCTAATTCTCCTTCAGCTGAATTCTTTCTTACAGCGTCCTGTTCTTGGCTTTCATTTGATTTCTCACAATTAATAATTTTGCATATATTTGCATGTTTGTCTGTCTCTGCTACTGGGCTGTAAGAGACCTGTCAGTTTTGCTCACTGGTCTATACCTAGTCTCAACATAGTACTTGGCATATAGTAAGCACTCATTAAACTGTGAAGTGTGTGTGTGTGTGTGTGTGTGTGTGTGTATGTATACATATATATATGTACATACACATTTTAGTGTATGTATATTCTCATGTATTCTATGAGATTATGGGCAAGTGTATCCTATATTACATATAAAGACAGTAAGAGAATAACTTACAGAGTTAAAAGTAAGTGTAAAAGGAGCAGTTATATTAAATTTTGAAAAGAATAAACTATTAATTATGTAATTCTCCATTGTTCCATGAAAACAGATGTGACTATTCATTAGCACTGACTAATGAAGGATATGTTATTTCAGATAATCTATCAAAAAAAATACCCTCTTTCCAGCATATAAAATCTTTCTCTCCCCATTGTCCTCAAGAGCTAGGACTTTATAACCTACTTTTATTTTGGTCCTAAAAATATTTTTTCTCAAAAATGCTTTAGAAGTAATTGAGATCATCAATAAGAAATTTATGCAGCTTTCTTGGAAATGTTATGAGTTAGGTCCTAGCAACCTATCTCTAAGGCTATGAAGCACTGATAGTCTGGCATCTATTTTATCTGAACCAACTCCCTGCTTCAGAAACTGCTGTCTTGAAATACCGTTCTGGGCTGAATATCTATTGCAGTATGTATAAAATGGAATTACAGGCCATTGCTACATTTGCTGCAGTTACTGGCATGATGGATTATAGGTACTCAGTCAGACTGCATTTAGCATTATGATTTAGTAAAGTAGCTGAAAGAGGAACATTTGTTCTCTTTTTGTTTTGCAATAATGTTTTTATTAGAAATATATGTACATTGTTGAAAACTGGAAAATGCCAAAAATAGAAGGAAAAGAGTGAAAATTGCTGATGATACCACCACCAAGAAATCATCACCATTAATATTTTGGCTTTTTTGTTTTCAGATTTTTTCCATTATGAAATTGTTGATATTTGATCCTCTTGACCTATAAAAATGTTAATATCATATAGCTTACTCGAACATATCCAAATAATGTCATATATATTATTTTATGTACCAAAAAGCATACTAAACAGATTGTTTTATAGCTTACTTTTCTCATTTTTAACATTATAATTTAAGCATTTGTTCATAATATTAAAACTTTTTGAAAACATTATTATGAATGACTATTTCAATATGTGGATGTACCACAACTTACCTAATGATTTACCTACTGGTAATCATTGAGTTGGACTGGTTGGACATGAGTTGTTTCTAATTTGTCGCTATTACAAATAATGCTCTGATAAATATGTATAATTAATTTGTGTTTCAGATTATTTTTATTTCTAGAAATGAGATTCTTGGTTATAGGCTAAATATATTTTCTTGGTTTTTTTTTTTGTTCATTTGTTTGTTTGAGATGGAGTCTCCCTGTCACCCAGACTGGAATGCAGTGGCATGATCTTGGTTCACTGAAACCTCTGCCTTTCTGGTTCAAGCAATTCTCATGTTTCAGCCTCCCAAGTAACTGGAATTACACGCACACGCCACCTCGCCTGGCTAATTTTTGTATTTTTAGTAGAGACACAGTTTCACCATGTTGGCCAGGCTGGTCTCTCAAACTCCTGACCTCAAGAGATCTGCCTGCCTTGGCCTCCCAAAGTGCTGGGATTACAAGCGTGAGCCACTGCACCTAGCTGGTTATACATATTTTCAAGTCTATTGATACCTAGTGCCAGGAACTTGATTTCAAGAGGAAATATATGTTGTATGAATGCAAGGGCTGTGTTTGCTTTTGCTCACCCGTTTCTGCAGTGGCCAGGCTTTTTGTCACATTAAAGGTACTCAGTAAAACATTTGCTCAATGAATAAATGTATGGCACCTGCCACTGAAAATAAAGAATGTCTCCAAAATCAGACAACATGACATGCGTATCTCTTTTGGGTTGCCAGTGTTGTAATTCTACTCACACCAGTGGTAGTTCTTCTGAGTCACTAACAAGTAGTATTTTTCTGGTGGTTATGATCTCACTTTCCAGCTTCTCTCATGTATCGGAGATATTTTATAGCAGTTGAAAATTTGAACTCTCAAATTAGATAAGTTGTAACTTAGAGTCCTCCACTAGGTAGCTGTGTAAACTCGGGAGTCATATAACTTCTCTGGGCCTCAGTTTTCCTCCATGAAATGGGAAGATTGACAGCATCCACTTCACCGAGAGGTTGTGAGGATTAAATGAGCTCATTTTCATAGAAATGCATTATGGTGCTGAGCACATAGTAATTGTTCAATAAATGTTTTCTGTTATTTGACATAATTGAGAAACTCTGAAAATACTTTTTCCTCCAAAAGGGAGTATATAAGGAAAGATGATGATTCTATGTAAACGTCTCAAAAGAGAGCCGAGAAGTACAAATGAGAAAATACAATTGAGAAAACAGAATTTTAAAAGATTTCATAACCTTTTAAATTCCTCCTTGGTTGTTTTTATTATCCCAGGCCTATTTCTTTCTAATAATTGGCAGAAAAATCACAGACCAAAGGCCTCCTCTGGCAGGGGAGCCTGGAAGAGCAGCTGGGGAGATTGACGTCCTACCCCACTGCCAGTCTTCCCAGGGACTGAGAGAGGGAACAGGAAATTGGTGAGTGTCTGAAGGTCTACAGTGAGGGGGACAGAAGAGAGAATGCAGGGACAAGTAATAGACTGAGAAAAGACTTTGAGACTTGAAGAGTTTCCAGTTTGGACGAGCTGCTGGCACTGTGTGCCTGGGTCAGTCACAGTGGGATATGGATGCTGACTACTGAGTGAGGATCGAGTAGGTGTGTGGGCAAGGGCAGGTCATGTCCCACTAAGGACTGGCACAGGCTGGCAGTGCTAGGAGAGGACCAGTCCTGGGGGAGGGAGAGCTAGTGTTGAAAACAGGGACCAAATCAAGCCTTTGTTTTCCCAGATGTGCTATATTCAGTCATTTAATCGACAGCTGTTCTTGAGAGTCTACTATACGCCAGGTGCTGATGCAGGCCCAGGGGTAACAGCAGTCAACCAAGAAACAGGCAAACATTTCACCCTTTGTGGAGCTGTGTTCTAGTGGGAGGAGATAGACAATATACAGTAAATATAAAACATACCCCAGTGATATGTATTAGAACATAATAGGTACCTTTTTAAAAAAAGAGCTGAATAATGAGGGTGGTGAGGGTGAGTGGTGAAGGGGAAGTTTGCAATATTGATTGGGGTTAATAAGGGTGGGCCTTGTTCAAACAGTGGCATGAAAGCCAAGACATGACGCAGGTAAAAGAGCAAGCTAGAGAGTGTTCTAGGCAAATGTAAAAGCCTCAAGGTAGAAGTCTGTCTGTTTTTGAGGAAGGCCAGAGTGGCTGGAGCAGAGTGAGTGAGGGAGAGGATGGTAGGAAATCAGGGCAGGGAGATTAATAGGGGACCGGTTAGTAGGGACCCCAGGAGGCCACTGTAGTGTTGGATATTCCTGGATCAGAGTTTCTCAAATCATTCTCCACAGGTAATGTCTATTCTCCAAGAGAGTTTTCCTTGGCCTGTGCCCAGGCTGCTCAAATAGAATGCAGAAACAAAGAATTTGCCTGAATTCTGCTAGCCACTCTCCAAGGTCTTCTCCTGCGATGGGTGGAGGGACTTTCAGGGCAACCCTGTTCTAAGTAGGAGGTGAAGGTGATATCCAGACAAATCCTTCCTGGGTATTTGCTCGGGGGAACTTGGGACTTTTTGGCAGTATTGTCTAAGGCTCTGGCTCATTAATTCAGCCCTCGTGTTCCCGTATCTGCAAGGGCATAACTGCAGTCCCCTCAGTTCTCTGGGTAATGTGACTCTCACTGCAAACCTCAACATGGAAAGCTCTTGCTAAGGTGGGAAGGTCTCAGTCCTCCAAAGGAAACGAAGTTGTGGCAGCCTTTTTACTAGAAGGATCAACTTAGTAATTAACAAAAATGCTTAAAATAATGAAGAGGAGGTGGGTGTAATCAAGAACTATGATTATTCAGGATCTCTGTAGGAGTAAATGTATTACTTCAAAATTCTCCAGTTTTGCACGCCCATGTTTATTGCAGCACTATTCACAATAGCCAAGATTTGGAAGCAACCTAGGAGTCCATCAACAGATAAATGGACAAAGGAAAGGTTGTAAATACACAGTGGAGTACTATTCAGCCATAAAAAAGAATGAGATCCTATCATTTGCAACAACATGGATGGAACTGGAGATGATTATGTTAAGTGAACTAAACCAGACACAGAAAGACAAACGTCGCATGTTCTCACTTATCTGTGGGAGCTAAAAATTAAAACAATTGAACTCATAGAGATAGAGAGTTAGAAGGATGGTTACCAGAGGCTAGGAAGAGTAGGAGAAGAGTCGGGGGTACGTGGGTGTGGTTGATGAGTACAAACAATAGTTAGAAAGGATGAATAAGATATAGTATTTGCTAGCACAACAGAGTGACTATAGTCAAAAATAATTTTATTGTACATTTTTAAATAATTAAAAGAGTATACTTGGGTTGTTTGTAACACAAAAAATAAATGCTTGAGGTGATGGATACCCCTTTTACCCTGATGAGATTATTATGCATTACATGCCTGTATCAAAATATTACATGTACCCCATAAATATATACATCTACTATGTACCCACAAAAATTAAAAATTAAAAAATTAATCTCCAGCTTTGGAGTCAAAAGCTAAAGCCATTTTTTTACATTTTAAGATTTGGGGGATGAAAAATACAGCATTATGCTTTTAACAGCCCTTTACAGCTTTACCATTTTTTAACCTTTGTCTCAGCCTTCTTGTGTTTAAGTATAAGTGTTCTCTTTATGGAAACCCAAAGCTTCCCTTATTTAAATTTCAAGGATGTTGAAACATTGTAATGTTTCATTACAATTAATGAAACATTACATTAAAATGTAGAGTCTACATCATGTACCTGTTTTCTTTTTTTTTCTTTTTTTTTTTTTTTTGAGACAGTGTCTCACTCTGTCGCCCAGGCTGGAGTGCAGTGGCGCCATCTCGGCTCACTGCAAGCTCCTTCCTCCTCCTGGGTTCATGCCATTCTCCTGCCTCAGCCTCCTGAGTAGCTGCAACTATAGGCACCCACCACCACGCCTAGCTAATTTTTTGTATTTTTTAGTAGAGACGAGGTTTCACCGTGTTAGCCAGGATGGTCTCGATCTCCTGACCTCATGATGTGCCCACCTCGGCCTCCCAAAGTGCTGGGATTACAGGCGTGAGCCACCGTGCCTGGCCCTGTTTTCTTTTTTAAAAAATGTTTTATATTTTTAATTACCCTTTTAACTGAACCTGTTTTCAATTCATGTGAATATACATAAAGTATAACACTAAAGAGTTAAAGAAAATATCAAAAAACTCTCCCAAGAGGTGTCAACTGAGTAATAACAACCTAGTTGGAATTAAGCCACTTTGACAAGCTACACTTTCTGAGTGCTTATGTACCAATTGCCTTAACAGACATTTATTTCTTGGTGTGACAGGCTGCTGACCTTAGAACATAAGCCCAGCCCTGGGTTTCCCCTTCCAGATAAAACTCTGTTATCAGACCAGAGCTGGCTTGCTCAGACACAGTGCCAGCCTACCTGACCACACCCTGCCAACAGCAGCTGCTGAGGAGTAAGACTGAAGTTACCCAAATGCTCGTCCAATGGGCTCACATGTTAAAGACCAAATAATCCCCCCGGATCATGATCTCCTCAGTCCTCTCATCTCCGGAAATGGAGCTACCATCCTTTCAGTTGTTCAAACTAAAAAGCTAGGAATCGTGCTTTGATTCGTCTCCCCCCAACCATGTACATCTAATAATACAGCTAATTCCAACAGCTCCTTCTCCAAAAGATGTCATGACTCTGTGAGCTACCTTCCATCTCTACTGCCATAATCCTGGTCCACACTTCATCACACCTGACCTCAGTTATTGTGATAGCTTTCTGTTTTATTTTATTATTTGAATTTTATTATTTTATTTTATATGAGACATGGTCTCACTCTGCTGCTCTGGCTGGAGTGCAGTGGTGCAATCATAGCTCACTGCAGTCTTGAACTCCTGGGCTCAAGCAATCCTCCTGCCTTAACCTCCTGAGTAGCTGGGACTACAGGCACATGCCACCACACTTGGCTTATGTTTTTATTTTTTGTAGCGATGAGGTCTCACTGTGTTGCCCAGGCTGGTCTTGAACTCCTGGCCTCAAGCAATCCTCCTGCCTTGGCCTTCCGAAGTGCTGAGATTACAGGCATGATCTACCATGCACGGTCCCATAGCTTTCTCAGTGATCGCCATATTCCCAAACTTGCACTTTCTAATGGCCGTCAGAATGGTTCTTAGAAACCTATATCAGACCATTTCACGCCTCTGTGTGAAATCTCCTATATCTCTCACTGCAGTAAAATAAAACCCAAATTCCTTACCTTGGCCTACGAGACTGTTACTTGACCAGACTCTTACATACTTTTCTGACTTCACCTTCATCCCTAAATGCCACGCTCCAGTCACTCTGGGCCTTCCTTTTGTTTTCTGAACCCATTCAATTTGTTCCAGCCTTTGTATAAGGTGTTTCCTTTCCCTGGAACACTCCCTCCACCCCCTTGTCTTCTCAAGGCTGGATATGTTATTCTGATCTCATCTTAAATTACCACTTCCTCAAAGAGGTCCTCTGTGACTCCGCAGTCTAAAGTAGCCCCCACCAATCCGTCTCTATCCTATTTTAACTTTCAAGAGGATATTTTTCCTCTTTATTTCTTTTTCCTAGCTGTCTCCCACCCAGTGGGAGACACTTTCAATAGCTTGTTAGTAATCTAATATTTTTTTCTGATTGTAATAGTAGTGCATACTCATTGTAAAGTATTTGGAAAATACAGACGCAATAGTGCTTTGGCTGGGTTAGAGTCCCAGAATGTGAACTTTATGAGAGCAGCAATTTTGACGTGCAGTTTTCTGCTATATCCCCAGCACCTGGAACAGTGCTTGGCAAGTGAAAGGTGTTCCATAAATATTCAGTGCATGAATAAAGTTTTCTCTTGGTGGGGTTGATTTCTGAGTTGGTTCCATCATGGGTTGGTTATCTTTATCTTCCACTCTAGACTGTCTTCCTTCCTGTCCACTCATCTGATAATCTACATGCCCCATTCATCACTAGGGAACCCGTCACAGGAAGGGAGTGGGTGAACTAGCATAAGTGGAATAGCTAAATTGAAAAGACTCCAAAACTTATGCCTTGCTGCATACAAATTGTTAGCAATATCCTTTTGCTTATTAGAATATTCTGAATTAATATATAGATGTTCTAACACAAATTCATCTCTTTAGCACTTTGCTATCTCTACAATAGAGAGGGAAGAAGCATTGTTCTATTTCTCACTGAAAAAAGAGTATTACAGAAATGATTTTAGAAGTTTTAAAAGTGCTATTGAAATGCTATTTTAAATACAGAAATGCTATTTTAAACATGGAGAATTAAAGTCCAGAGCCATATCATCTAGCAATCTAACAAAAGGAAACGTAACTTTGGGCTTTGAAACCAGACTATGAACAGAGGCTAGTTCTCTATTTTAAGCAATGTCTTCCATGAGTGGGTATTTTTATATTGATATCTCCCCCACTTTCAATAGCTTATTAGTAATCTAATTTTTTTTTTCTGATTGTAATAGTAGTGCATACTCATTGTAAAGTATTTGGAAAATACAGACGCAATAGTGCTTTGGCTGGGTTAGAGTTTAAGGGTGTGTGTTAAAGCCCGGTAGAGGAACATGTGGTGTGAGACAACACTGCCCCCTAGAGGTCTTTGTGTGCCGCGGACTGACCGGGCCACCCAACCTCCCGAGACGTCCCGCCGCTTGGAGAAGGCTCCTGGACAACGAAGTGCGTCCGGTGATTTCAAGGTGGGGCTAGGAGTCTTGTGAGAGGAAACTCGGTCCTGACCCTATGTGAGTGCTGAAATTCATAGAACTGTGTAGACAAAAGTCAGTTTTATTGCATGCTAATTTAAAAACATTTAAAAATAAAATAAGCTTTAAATGCCTTTAAGACATAATTTAAAATAACTTTAGAAAAATTCCAGTGAGAGACTCATCCCATAATTTAGCCACTCCTTCTGATGCTAGACTGCTGCACTGTTCCTATCTCTGTATAAATAAACCTGTATTGGAAACTCTGGGGGCATAAATCTTTGTACATATTTAAGATTTTAAAAATTAGGATACAGCTCAGAAGTGGAATTATGGAGAAGATGAGTATAAATGTTTTTTAGAACTCTTGATATCTGCCGCCAAGTTGCTTTCCCTTCAAGGTCGTGTCAATTGCCGCTCCCACCAGCAGTGACTGAGATTAAATGGTTTGGGTATTATTGAGTACATGAAATTAGAAGACATATTCAGGGTTGGTTGGGGAATTGCCTCCTGGTTGAGGTGGGGTGGCGGAGAAGTAGGAGAGAAACGGAGGTGGGTGCGTGTGTAAACCAGGAGAGAAATAGACCTTCACGCCTGAGGGTTATCTGCTTCAGGTTTTTGTGCTTCCCCAGTAACTCCTATTTTGCTCCTTACCACTTTCTTTAGGATTGATTTTTATTTTCTTATTTCTTCTTCACCCTCTCTTCTGGCCGTAGTGTAGGAGCAAAGTTAGGCTACCAAAGCAGCAATACTATCCTATGTAATCAACCAAGCAACGTTTTTAAAACACCAATCATATGAAAGGCACTGTGCAAGCCACCCCTGCCCTCGGAATTTACAGTGCAACAGGGAAAGGTGAGGTTAGTGTGACTTCCCTGCCCAACACCACCTTTCTCCCTCCTAAGTTGCTAATGGTAATGATGAAAATAATGTCATCATCAGGTATTATTTAGCTATTGGAAGAAACCACTCGGTGTCGAGTTCATCAAGGAATCTGTCACAGATGTGAAATCAAGCCAGGCCTAGCAAGGATGAGTGCATTTAATTGAATGCATTTCAGGTAGAGAAATGCCATGTGCAGAAGTGATGGCCTTTGGTAAGGAGTATGGGACTGTGACTATTTCCCCTTGATGACCTTGCATGAAAATAAACAAACAGCATTTGAAAAATCTCCTCTCCTGAGGTGACTAGAAGGTGACTCAACAGTCCATTTCCATGCATCAGCTTGCTGGAGGAAATGGAAAGGCCTATTCCCCAAAGCAGTGTTTGTCTCACAGAAATAGAGATATTATGTGTAATAAATTGGGAAAACTTGTGAAATGAAACATCTGTTCTGCATGCTTAAGCACCAAGGCACTTGCAAAATATGAATTTTTACTCCATATTCCAAATGCTGTGATGATGAGCTGAGAATGAGTTTGGAAGGTTCATCTCTTTCCAATAAAAAGGTTCATCATGCCTCTCTGACTTTTATAATTATTTTGGAACATTTTAGATAGGAAATTGAAAGAGGAGGGAAAGAATGATGACAGAACTGAAGAAGAATTGATGAAAGGGTCAAAAAGCTAAAGAACTTTGAGAAATGGATTTTATGTGCAGTCAACAATGCCTTCAGCTAATTTAACCAAATCAACAAAGCCATTAAAATGTATAATGATTTTTATTTTGCTACAAATCTATGTAGAATGAAAGATACCTTGTGAAATGCAAAATCTTCCATATTTGGGATCTAAGCACCTGCATAGATGTTTGAGAAAACGGAAGGTGGCTATTCTTTTATTGAATGTTTTTAGAACATAATGCTACTCCCCCCTGCTCACTCCACCGCAATAAATACTTTATTCACTCTGGATGCCCTCAATTTCCCCTACCAGCTAGGAGCTGTGTATCACTCTCCAATGTACTGTTGATTTTCAATCTAGACCAGTCTCCAAGGTTACTCTTGACTTTAAAATATACAACACCAATTTGCAGGTTCCACCAGATATCCAGGTGTGAATTTTTCTGAGGCCAATTTAAAGAACAGACTGTCTTTTTTTCTTACCATGGTGCTGCATATTATTGGTGCTAATGCTACACCTAAGGGATTTCAAAGCTCATTTCCAAACATCATCTCATTTGAACTTAACCAGAATTGGGAGATGGACTGTGCAATTATTTTTACCCAGCATTCCAAAAGGGGAAAAATAAGCATCTGAAAATGACTTTCCCAAGGTCACACAAAGAACCAAGACAAGACACTACGTTTCCTAACACCTATTACTCTGTTTTGTATTGTATTATATACTTTATGCTTGAACATAACCAGGCAAGTCTTTTTCCTTGAAAACTCTCAGGAGAAATGTTCTCTAGTCCCAATCCCTTGTCTAATTTCTACTTAAACCTATATGCTCCCCCATTTCTCCTTCTCGGTAGGCATGGGGGATCCCACACTGCAGATCCCACATGCCTATCAAGAGAGTAGTGACCTTATAGAGTCCCACATGGCAGTGTAAAGCAGTGAGAGTCACATCTTGGGTCCACGGTGGACTGATCCAACCATGTGGGCAGTGGTCAGAGGGGAGTTTTTAACCAGCAGTGGACCAGAATGGGTCACATCAGCAAGGTTGGTGCTGCAGCAAAGTGGCCATTGGGATGATAAAGGGATAGTGATGCTCACGTCCCAGTGTGGATGGTGGGAGAGCATGCATGTTGCTTTCTGTGATAGTATCCATCATGGTACATGAGGGCACAGTCGTTTCTCCTAACTCTGGAACACCAGGTTTCCTCCTTGACTCTCTCAGGATTCTCAGGTAAGAGAGGAGAGGCATGTGTGAGGGATAGGAGGAAGCCGAAAGGAAAACGAATGGGCAGAGATGACATAAAAGGCATATTTAATGAGGGATTGCCAGGGCAAAAGAAATAGATTCCCCTTTCTTTGACATAATTTTCAAATAATCATTTGTATCAAACAGCATTTCCCCCTTGGGGATTTTGAGGGACAGGTAAGGCCACCACCCCAGTGCCTGAATTTATACTTATAGATACCTGCCTAAGACACTGGATGTGTCTTGGAGGGGGACTGTGGTCCTGCATTAGGTAGGTCGGTGCTAATGAGCTAATGAACTTTGGTTCAAATTGTAGAAGTAAACTGACCACTGTTCCCCAAAGTTGATACGGCCTGGGTGATACTTCTCAGACTTTCGAGTGCCTAAGAATCACCTGAAGATTCCGATTCAGTGGGTTTTAGGGTGGAGCCTAAAATCTTGCATTTCCAACAAGCTCCTGGTGATGCTATGATGCTAGTCCGTAGACCAGCTAAGTAGCAAGGAGCCAGGGACATTCAGATTACACTATGTATGTGGTTTTGCACCCTGATTTTTTTTTTCCTTTTAACCTCTTAAAACTTTTTGCTTAACATTTTACATAAATGTTTTCCCTATGATATTAATTATTCTTTAGACTCATAGTTTTTAATAAATGTGCTATTTAGTTACTTGGATGTGTAGTGATATATTTGATAACTACCTTTTGTTTGAAATCTAAAATGCTTCCTGTTTTTACCTGTCGTAAATCATGATGTCATGAGCATCCCTATTTATAAATCTTTGTTGGCTTCTCTGCACCAAAACTTGCAAGCAGGACAGAGCATTCCATTAGGGAAAAAAAGAAAGAGAGAGAGAGAGAAAGACAGAAAAGTATATAAAAGAAGTTGAAAATACTGTTTTAAAACAAATATTGACTGATCTCTAATGTCCACATCCAAGGCACTTGATGACAGGAATTATAGAATATTCAGAAAAATAGAGTTTTTCTTTCACTTCTGCTATAACGTGTACTTGGAAACTACACCATAAAGTATAAAGCTCGAAAGTGGCTGGAATTTCTGCATACGATGTATTGTAATTACAGATTGCGCTCCAAGATTTGTTATAAACTTTGTGAAGGGAAAAAAACACAAGCTGTGTTTTGTATATTAAACATTAAAATTGTAGGCTATATCGTATGCAATGGAAGGAAAATATGCCACATACATTGAATTTTTTAAAACTACCATACCATAATTTTGCATAAAAACTAATAAACAAATTGTATTAAATGGGAAATAGTTAATAATTTGGCCTCTCTGGTTTGCTGCTGTGTTGCCAGGTCCTGGCTCCCATTAAGGTGACATCTAGCCTATAGGCCATTGAATAGAAAAAAGACATTCCTTCCTCAAGCACTTAACTTCCATTCAGCCAAAGCTTATGTGTATTGATTTTGTTGCAAGACACTGTACTGCCGTCTGCTAGAAAATGGTGTAGCAATAAAATCCAAATGTAAAATTTCTACATTGTGAATAGTACTTCCCAGATGTGGTGCACAGTCTGCACAAGCATAGGCACTGGCCCTACATCTAAATAGATTTTTCTGGAATGAAAGAATGAATGTATTCTATTGATCCTGGTTATGCTTTGAAGCTGTAATCTGTCAGTACCCTCTGTGGTCACTAGATAGGAAGTTGGAGAATATTCAGAGTGATAAAGAGAAGGGTAATGGGAAAGTCTAAATGAGTGCTTCTCAAATTTTAATGGGCGTATGAATCACCCAGGAATCTTGTTAAAATGCAAATTATAATTTGGATGTGGGGCCTGGGATTCTGCATTTCTCACAAGCTCCCAGCTCACTTATCATCTGATAAGAATGCTGTTGGTCCATAGGCCACACTTCGAGTAGAAAGACTCTAAAACAACAGTCAATCTTGGCTTCTTGCTAAGTAAATATTTTTTAGTAAAAATTGTCACTCTTAGTTCATTGAAATTGATTCAGTATTCTGTTAATTTCTGTGTTGAATCTTGGAATGGAAAGAAACTTCCAGGTGATTCTAATGTGCAGCCAAGGTTGAGAACCACTGGTCTAGTGAAAAGTCATGCATCCAAAGCACCTAAATGTAGGGACTACATGTAAAAGGCATTCACAAATGAAAAACATCAAATAATTGTGATTTTAAATTTTAAAAAAAGAATTATTCTTCGTCTGAAGATATTTATCACCACATGAATGATATACATTACTAAGTATTGCAGGCGTGTCCAACCTTTTGGCTGCACTGGGCCACATTGGGAGAAGAATTGTCTTGGGCCACACATAAAATACACTAACACTAACAATAGCTGATGACCTAAAAAAAAAAAAAAAAAAAAAAAAGGTCCATGCATAGTTTTCATGACATCCACCACCACAGATAAGCAAAATAGTCCTTGCATTGAAAAGGTTGGACACAGCTGGAAGGAGTTTAGAGGCCGGAAGAGCTCTATAGGCAGAAATACTTTGGGAATGAAAGTAATGGGAGGACATAGGACAAGACGCTGCCCTCCTGGTATCTCAGGTGTGGCATGAGCATACGTGACAGGGGCAGTGAGCACCTGGGCTAAGGATAGCTATTCTACTCCTCCGGCATTGTTCTTCTTACAGAGTTGAGAGCTCCTCTGCACTTTGTGTATGCCATCGGCCAGCTCATAGTACTTTGCAACTCTGATCAATCAACATGCTTGCAGATTGTTACAATCTTGCCGTTTTCCCATCCACGATAATCGCATGGCTGTATCTTAATGCCAGTTTACTGAGTTGTATTGCTAGGGGCTTTCTAATTCCCATTAAAGATTTTTAAATCCCTCAGCCATTTTCTTACTTAAAACCATTAAAGGTAGCTTTAGGTATGTTGAGGAATGTGTGTGGATGATACAGCATTTCTCTTCTACCTGGAATAGTTGTCTTCCCTATTGCCGCTGCATTCCCTCATCTACTCTCCATCTCATTTTAACAAAGGATTGGTATTTTAGAAAGAACTCAGATTCTCTTTGGAGAAGCGAGCGCCACCACTTGTAAGGTGATTTTTAAAGATAATATTCACAAGTTATTTGATGCTTCTCTCCCAAAGAGATGGAGCTACATTCCCCTTTTCTTAGTGTGGGCTGGACATAAGGACTCAGATAGATCTGGCAGAAAGGATGAAATGTCACTTTTGAGATTAGATTATTGAAAGACTGTGGCTTCTGTCTTGGGAGGTGCGTGCTCACTTTTTCACTCTTAAACTCCTCACTCGGAGAAGCCAGCTGCCATGCTGTGAGGCAGCCTGTGGAGAGGCCCACGTAGTGAGGAACTGAGGACTGCTGGCAGCCGTGGCAGTGAGTGCAGAAGCAAATCCTTCCCCAGTTGAGGCTGCAGATGAATACAGCCCTGGCAAACACCTTGACTGAAGTCTTGTGAGAGATTCTGAGGCAGAACCACCCAGTTAAGAAGCTCCTGGACTCCTGACTCACAGAAACTGTGAGATGACATTTGTTTTTTAAAAAAATTGGTAAGCTTGGCTGGGCGCGGTGGCTCACGCCTGTAATCCCAGCACTTTGGGAGGCCAAGGCGGGTGGATCACGAGGTCAGGAGATCGAGACCATCCTGGATAACATGGTGAAACCCCATCTCTACTAAAAATACAAAAAATTAGCTGGGCGTGGTGGTGGGCACCTGTAGTCCCAGCTACTCGGGAGGCTGAGGCAGGAGAATGGTGTGAACCCGGGAGGCGGAGCTTGCAGTGAGCCGAGATCACACCACTGTGCTCCAGCCTGGGTGACAGAGTGAGACTCCGTCTCAAAAAAAAAAAAAAAATTGGTAAGCTTGGGGGTAATTTGTAATATAGCAATCATCAACTGACAGAACTTGCCTGAAACAAAATATTTTTTTCAGCAAAGAACCTGCTATTCTAAGCTTGCTGAAACTGGCTCTGTATTGAAAACTAGAATGGAAAGGAATGTTTAGTGTCAGGGTAAATTCATGAATCAGTGGACCCAACAGAAATGCAGTGTGTGTGTGCGTGTGTGCGTGTGTGTGTGTGTGTGTAAAATCTCACTTCTTTGGAAGTGAAAGATGAATTTTTGGAAGAACAAAACCACAATCAGTTCTTTGTTGTCATTGAAATCATTTGATAATCCTAAGCATGCACGCACACTCCCAAAAGAGTAGAAGATGGTAGCTCACAAGACAAGGAAGACTGGTAAAGCTACTGAGGTCTGTGGGAGCTGCCCTGTAAGTCAGAAGTGCCCACAAGTTGGAGCCATTAGGTTTTAAATGACAGAAACCCAATTCAAGCTAGTAAGCAAAAAGAGAATTTATTGTCTTACACATCTGGGAAGTCCGGGGCTACAACAAACTTCGGTACTCCTGTTTACGGAGTTCTCTGTCTCCCTCATCATCTCTGGCCCTGCCTCCCTGTTTCTTTCCTCAACTTCTCCTGTGAGAAATCACTTTCTTTGGCCACCAGTAGCCCAGCTTCTCATCCTGAGTTTGCCTGCTCCATGGCAAAAAGTGCATTTCTCCTAACAACAATTAATCCAACCCTAGGAACATTCTGATTGACTGGCTTGGGTTGTAAGCCTTTGGCAAGGGGAAGGTGGTGAAGATGTTGTGATTGACAGGTTTGCCTGGACCACATGGAAAGAGAGGGAGTGATTACCCAAGGAACCCAAGAGGAGGGTGGGTGAGAGGGCTGTTAAACAAAAATATAATCACCGAAGCTCCCTACAACCTGGAGGCTTGATGAGAATAAGCCATGACACATGGTTGCTGTCGTATGGTTGCTGTTCTAAACACATGGTTGCTATTCTTATGGTGCTTCAGTGAGATGCAACTAGAGGCTCAGGTTATAGGCTGAGTTAAGCCAGGAATGGGGTTTTCTTCTAGAAACTTCTGGAACTGAAAAGTTAAATTACTAGGAAGTCGCTGGAGAGGTTAGCTGGCCCTCCATGTCTATTCTACTTAAAGCTGTTCGACTTATAAGTATGAGAATTTAATTCTTCTCCACTCAGCAAGAGAGAAGAATGAGGTGTCTTTGCCTTTATATTTCTAAGAGAACTCATTTAGAGTTTTAAAACACAGGGAGATTAAGGATGTAGGAATGTGTGGAGGTGGTAGACATCTGCTGAATTTTTTTCATAAGAGAGTTTGAGTTGAGATTCTGACATATGCAGCCAAGAGATCCTAATAAAGCTGGTTCTAAAGAGATCCAGATTTTCATATTAGAACTATAATAAATGAGATTTATGTGCTTTTATGAAACTTTATGTTAGCAATTAAAGTATTTTGCACTGGAGGTTCAGTTCAAGGGCAAATCTATGCAAAAATGTTCCAACTGAAACCTTTGTATTCAGAATCACAGTGTGTTAGAACTGAAAGAGGCCTGAAAGATCCTATTTGTTTTTTAAGTAAAAAGAAACATCTTTTCATATGTTTAATGGTTATTTGTATTTCTTCTTTTGTGAATTGCCTTTTAAAATTATTTCTCATTTTTCTATTGGAACATTAATTTGCAAATTATTTGTAAGTGTTTTTATATGCATAATATAAACATATTATTTGTCATATACTGTATGCATCTTTCCTTTTTCCATGTTATAGTGCTGCTTTCTATATATACATGAAGTTTTAAGTTTTTTGTAAGTTGATTTATCTCTTTGTAAATTATATCTTAGTGTTTATAACTAGTCAAAAGACTTCCCAATACCCAAATACACTAAATAGCCACATATTTTATTTTGCAATTTTTTAAATTTTATTGAATTTTAAGGATCTGTCTTTAATTTAATTATATATAAATCTTTAACAAATCTGAAATTTAATTTGTGAAGTAGGCATCTAATTTTATTTTTTCCCAAATGGTTAGCCAAATATTGCTGTACCATTTATTAAGTAATCTAGTTTTTCCCTATTCAACTGAAATGCCACACTGACTTAATGTTTTATTTGTTTATTTGAGGCGGCAGAACTTCTCAAAACATTTATTAACAGAGAACAATGTTTCATGTAATTAGCATTTGACTTAATAGCTCAATTTGAAGAATGGAAAAAATAAAGGGAAATGATAGATTTCAGTACTACGAACAACATTTGTTGGGACTTTTGAAGGTAGATAAATTGGAAGAAAAAGTATTATGTTGCTTTATTTTAAAAATAGAAGCTAGCAATTTTTAGCTGCATTTGAGGACTTTATTTTCTTTTTGCATTTTCTTCCCTGTGGTCTACAGATTTCCTAGCAGACTTAACATCTGGCATTGGGGAATCCTTAAACCCAAGGAAGGAACTGCTGGCAGGAAATTTTCTGTGGATGTTAGGATTGGGAAAAGGGGAGATGAAATAAGGGATGTGCTTCCTTAAGATTATAAACTCTATCCACAAAGCCCCTGTCTGGAATTCTGGGTTGAATTGTATCCTCCCCAACCCCCACCAAAAAAAAAGACATGCTCTTCAACATATCTTCCTAACCCCCAGTATCTCAGAATGTGACCTTATTTGGAAATAGGATCATTGCAGATATAATTAGTTAAATAAAAATGAGGTCATACTGGAGTAGGGTAGGCCTCTGATCCAATATGACTGGTGGCCTTATTAGAAGATGGCCATGTGAAGACAGAAACACACAAGGAGAAGACCATGCAATGATGAAGACAGAGACTGGAGTTATGCAGCTGAAAACCAAGGAACAGCTTCTTATGTACTTAATTTGTGTCAGATTTCACTACGTGTCAAAGCTTGCTATAAAACCACCAGAAGCTAAGAAGAGAGGAAGGATTCCCCTACAGGTTTCAGAGGAAACACGGCTCTGCTTACACCTTGATTTCAGATGTACAGCTTTCTAGTTTGTGCTACTTTATTATGGCAGCCCTAGGAAACTAAAGCAGCCCTCATGAGTTTTAATGGCCTCATGGCTTCTGACACCAAAATGCCCCCAAAACACCTTTGATCTGAATTTTATCAAATTTTGAACACTTATAGGAGATGATATAACTAGAATATGATGAGATACTTATTAAATAAAGCCCAATGACTCCATGAATTCCAAGTAAAAGTTAAGTAAATCCCTTAAAATCAGAGCTAGAATAATTGTTCTGCCACTCATTAGCTCTGTGATCTTAAGCAAGTTATTTAACTTCTTGGGGCCTCTGTTTCCTCATCTGTAAAACAAAATATCTACCTCAAAGGGTTATCATAAAAACTGGACGAAGTAGTGATGCATGCAAAAGTACTTAGAACAGTGCTTGATACAGAGTGAGTACATAATCGATGATCATCTTCTTCTTCTTTTTCATCTCCTACCCCTCCTCCTCCACAAGTGCAGCTGAACAAATTCAAAATGATAGTTCATCAAATAATTGCAACAATGTGCTAGACACTCATATAAAGATCCATTGTAATGTAGTCATTTTGCAATGGAAGTTTGGCCGTGTGACAAGAATGTGCCCCTGATATGTCTCCTTGCAGGTTACTGTGAACTGAATTGTGTCCTCCCCTGACAAACTCATACGTTGAAGCCCTAATCCTCAGTGTGATTGTATCTGAAGATAGGGTCCTTGGCAGATAACTAAGGCTACAGGAGTCATAAGGGTGGCACCCTAATTCTATAGGACTGTAGCCTCATAAAAAGACGGAGAGAGAGAGAGAGCTCTCTCTATGGCAAGCACCGAGGAAAGGCCACATGAGCGTGCAGTGAGAAGGCAGCTATCTGCAAGGCACAGAGTGCACTCACTAGAAGCCAACCACGCTGGCACCCTGATCTTCCTCTTCCCTCTTCAGAGCTGTGAAAAAATTAATATCTATTGTTTAAGCCACCCAGTCTATGGTGTTTTGTTATGGCAGCCAAACTGACTAATTCACAGATTCAACACTCAAAGGGTTAAATATATATACCTCTTGGAACAGACAATGTGGATCTCCCTGCTTGGCTGATCCTCCTTCCCTACTAGTCTTCCAAATTTGTAGTGCTATAGGGCCCTCTTCTTTACCCTTGGTCTTCTATCTCAATCCAGCCCAAGGCTTTAAATACCATGTGAAATGGTTTGAATGTATATGTCCCCTTCAAAATTCATATTGAGACTCAATCCCCAGTGCAGCATTGTCAAGAGGCAAGGCCTTTAGGAGGTGATTAGGTCGTGAGGGATCTGCCTGTATAAATGAATTAGAACCTTATAAAAGGGATGGAGGGAACTAGCTAAGCTCTTTTTGTTCTTCTCCTTTCTCCCATGTAAGGATGCTACAGTGAGAAGATGCCAGGTCCTCATCAGACACCAAACTTGCTGGTGCCTTGATCTTGGACTTCCCAGCCCTTAGAACTGAGAGAAATAAATATCTATAATTTATAAATTACCCAGTCTGTAATATTGTGCAGCACAAAGTGACTAAGACATCGTATGTATACTGATGACATACAGATTTAGTCCTCATCTCTTCCTTCAACTGCAGGCCTCTGTGTCCAACTTCCTTCTTGACTCCTCCACTTGGATGAATAATAAATAGCCGCCTCAAATATTTTAAAGTCCAAAACAAACCCTTCATTGAACTGTTTGTTCCCTCTTTTCAACCATGCCTTGTCCATGTGGACACCCCCACCCCAAAAGTCATCCTTGATTTCTTTTTCTTTACCCCCTCTGCCCACATCCAACCCATCAGTAAGTCTTGTCAGTTCTACTTCCAAATTATGTTTTTAATGTTATTCCCATTTCTCAGTTCCACTATCACCACCACGACTATTTCTTGCCATAGTCTCATTTCTTGCCATAGTCTCATTTCTTGCCATAGTCTCCTAAATGGTCTCCCAGTCTCTAGTCTTGCTGTCTTATAAATTCCTCTCCAGTCAGTAGCCAGAGTTATCTTTCATAAAATATAATTTTAATTTTACAAAAAAAAATACATGTGCAGAGTTTAAGCAGGCAGAGTTCAACAAATGATACCACCAAAAGGAAACAAACAAACAAGACATACCAATAGCTTCCAGATAAATAATTTTTAATGGCTTCAGCTCAGAGTTATCTTTTCATTTGTTTGTTTTTGGTTAGGTTTTTTGAGGTACAATTTGCATAGAGTAAAATGCAGCAATTCACATATTTAGGTATACATTCCAGTGAGTTTTGACAAATATATTCAGTCATGTAACCACTATGATAAAAATATAGAATATTTCCTTTACCCATAAGA
Source organism: Homo sapiens (assembly GCF_000001405.40). Classification (NCBI taxonomy): domain Eukaryota; kingdom Metazoa; phylum Chordata; class Mammalia; order Primates; family Hominidae; genus Homo; species Homo sapiens. Next base: position 79,767,440 of record NC_000010.11, on the reverse strand, counting down.
TATAGATGGATATAGATATAGATATAAAAGATACAAGGTCTCCTTCTGTTGCCCTTGAACTCCTGGGATCAAACCTCCTGCCTCAACCTCCCAACTAGCAGGGATTACAGGTTTGAGCCACTGTACCCATCACCATAAGTTATATTTTAATACATTAACTGAATCATGTCAACTCTTTAGGCAAAAAGCCTTCAGTGACTTTCTTCTAACTTAGAATAAAATTCAAACTCTTTGTCAGGGTCCTTGAAGCCCTACAAAACTCACTTCCATTTACTTCTCTGAACTCCCCTAATAACAAGTCCCCTCACTCAGCAGGGCCCTGCTAAGGAGTTTCAATCTGCTTCATGGACGTTCAACCTGCCTCTCCCCTTGTCTGGAATGATCTTCCTCTGATGTTCCATCCACCTTACTTTTTCTGATCTCTTTATTCAGTGTAGCTTTCAATTCACCTCAAGTAAGTTATTAATTATTTTATCCTGTTTATTTCTTATCACAATTTGGGATAATTTTGTTAATGTATCTTTTTGCTTGTTTATGTCTTAGACCACCAGAATGTAGCAAGATAAAGGCAGGACCTTGGTCCATTTATGCAAGACTATATTCCCAGCTCCCATGATATTATCTATTCTACCACACAGAGGGTTCTTCATATTAGGTTGAACTATTTGGAATTACCCACATATGACCATTTTTGACCTACAAGAATGGCGATTTCATATGGTTCATTTGGTTTATAAATATTTGCTGAATAAATGAATGAACTGAAATTTTGAGTTGATGCCACCAGGAAGAGAATAGACAGTTATATTTGTGCGCAGTTAGAAAGAGTTCGCTGTCCTGAGTTCACTTGATCACTTTTTATCCTAAATTGCCACCCGCTACCGTCGTAGTTTTCCACATAATAATTTTCTATTAGGAAAATTATTCATTAAAACAGATAACATGGGTCACTTAAGTGTAAAACTTAAAGGTAACACTTTTTTAAGGAAATCTACCAGAAGAAAATCTTTTTCTAATTTTTAAAGTTTAATGAAACATAATTTACATACAATGTAAATGGCTAATAATTTACGTACGATAGCTAATTTTTAACTCTTCATGTTTTTTTGTTGGCAGGCAACGTGTTGGACCTTCCGGAGCTTCTCAGAAGACAGAGGGTTTTCTTTTGAGGTAAATTTGATAGTACATTTTGATAGTACGGGAGGCGATACGGCATGGTGACAGAAAAGCGCCGGCTTGGTTAGCAGGACCACCTGGCAGGGCTGCAGGCTGTGCCACTTACCAGGCAGGGGACCTTGGGCCAGCTGCTTGGCCTCACTCACCCTGTTTCTCAGCTGCAATTGGGATGAACAGACTGCCTGCTTCGGGGTTGCCTAAAACTCACATTGGTTAATGATGTGAAATGCTTAGCGCAGTGCCTGGCATAGAGAGAATTCTCATTAGATGATACCTCAGCTGGGCTTTAGGAGCTACAGAAGAAGCTGCATCTCCATGAGCTCAGCGTGTTTCTAGCTTTCCTTTTTGTTTTCTATTCAACCTTTCACCCAACTCAGCTTCTCAATCCCTAAATGACAAAGGTTTGGGAAGGAAGACTTGGACCGAGGCTTGCATTTGTTTCTGAGAATTAAACGTTATGTTTTCTTCAATCTAAATAGGTTTGCTTGTACAGCCTTGTTGAATGGTTTTTTTTTTTTTTCTCCATGATAAATGACTCTCAACTTCTTTTCCCTCATCTAATTGCTTATCTACATACAATGCCTGGAAGGAAATAAATGTAATGGCCCGTAGCAACTGGCCTTCAGGTATCAAGTTTAAGTCCCTTTAAGCAGAACAGCAAATTGAGCACAGAATGAACTGGTTTCATGGTAGCGTACTGCAATTAGATGCAAGAATAGGGAAAGCAGGGTGCTTCAAGTGGTGACACAATTAGTATAGCACTGAGGGACTTCTCTTTCCACTTCTTCAACTCCGCCTGCATTCCGCTGGCTGAAGAGTTGATGACATCCCTGAAAAATCTTCCCTCTCTTGTTTCTCTGATGCCACCTCTGTGTTCTCCGCCTCACTGGCCACACTTCCTTTACCTCCCAAACTTTTAACTCTGAGTGTCCCAAACTTGTCTCATCACCTACCCCTGCTGCCCAGCTCCCCAGCCTGTTCCCCTTCTGACACGGGCACTCTCCTTCTGCTCTCTTGGGAGAGAAACAATGAAGGCCTATTTGGCACTTTTATTTCTATTCAAGGAACCAGACTGTGAACAAGTTTACCATTTAGTCCTTTGGACTGTGTCTTGAATTCATCCCTCTTCTCCATTCTCACCAGCACCATCATCATGATGGCTAATATTTCCTGAGCACCTTTCATTCAGGCATGATGCCAGGTGCACCAACTTACTTAATCCTCATAGCCACCACCTGAGCAAGCTCCTGTTTTATAAATGGACCAGTTCTTGTTGCTGTTGTACAAGTTATTTTCTTTCTATAACGTCCTCCTTGTCCTCCTTCCACATTCTTAAAGAAACTTTCCCTTCCTTTAAAGTACTCAGGGAGCCCTGCATTGCTTCTTGAAGCCTTCTCCAGCTTCATCATCTCACAGTGGTCTCTCTTTTCACTAAATGTCCAATATGCTGCACATAAGTACCCCAAAGTTAGCACAGAATTGTTCCATGGCTGTCATATATGTTAAAAATCATTAAAAGTTCATTTTTTCTCCCATTATGGGAAGGATACATGCTCCTACTAGTAAATTTAGTTGGTAGAAAAAAATTATCACTATCTAGACTGCTTTCCCTTTAGTCTTTATGCATAGCTTTCTGTCTGCCTATTTTTACTTTGTGTTTGTAACTTACTATTATAAAATATGCATCTCTATGTTCATTGTCAACATTATTTACAATAACATGGAGTGGATTTACATGTATTCTCTATATTTGGATTAAAGGAGATAGAGTATGTGAAATTAAATGGGAGAAGTATCTGATACATAACAGGCAATACAAATATTATCACATAGCGTCAATTTATTTGTGAATATTGAAAGCTCCAAAAAAGAAAAAAAGTTTTTTTTTAATTCCCGTAATTACTTATTGCAGTATTGTGTTCATACAAACTGCTCAGTCATTTTGGAGAAATAACAATTTTTTTCCTCATCATGAAGTAAGGTATGCTCACTGCAAAAAAAATCTAGAAAATAAAGAGGAACATGCTAAAGAAAAGAATACTCCCATATAATCTCTGTCTTCATAAATAATCTTTTGTAACGCTTATACACTGCTGGTGGGAATGTAAATTAGTTCAGCCATTGTGAAAAGTAGCGTAGCAATTCCTTGAAAAACTTAAAATAGAATTACCGTTCAACCCAGCAATCCCATTATTGGGCATATACCCAGTGGAATGTAAATCATCCTGCCATAAAAACACATGCACATGTATGTTCATTGCAGCACTATTCACAATAGCAAAGACATGGAATCAACCTATATGCCCATCAATAGTAGACTGAATAAAGAAAATATGGTACATATTCACCACAGAATACTAAGCAGCCATAAAAAAGAAAAAGATCATGTCCTTTGCAGCAATATGGATGGAGCTAGAGGCCATTATCCTAAGCAAACTAATGCAGAAACAGAAAACCAGATACTGCATGCTCTCACTTATAAGTGGGAGATACACCATGAGAACACATGAACACAAAAAGCGGAAAAAGAGACACCATGGCCTACTTGAGGGTGGAGGCTGGGAGGAGGGAGAGAATCAAAAAACTTCCTATGGAGTACTATGCTTATTACCTGCGTGATGAAATAATCACTTTGAACATTGTCAGTACATTATCTTCTAATCTAGACTCTTTTCTATGTTCTATATGCACACAGAAATACACATGCAAAGCTGAACACATATGTGAAACAAAATTCAGACACTCAAATTTTCCGCCAATACATGATAAAATCTTGCACAATAGCTTCCTCCACAGAGGAAAATGTCTTTACTACATCTTAAAAATGGGGTAAATGAATAGTTAGGCTCTTCAGTGTAATAATCATGGTAAATATTCTCAATGTGCGAAAATACAAACAAAAGACTTTCTCTCCCAGCAAATTTAGACCCACATGAAAATTTAAGCACAATCATTTTAAACGAATTTACCCTGGAGCTTAGTGGTTCGAGCTCAAGGTTGAGGAGCAGTCTGGGGACATCAGCTCTTAATATTTTTCAAGTTTTGGAGCAAGTGGTTTCTAGGTTCTGAGTGAAGTGAAACAGAATCTCTAGGGGCATGTGGTAAAGATAATCCCATACTATGTACTGCGTAGAGTTAAAGAGAAGAGGCGAGAGCATGAAGATAAACCAGTACAATCAGTCGTTCACATACCACTAACTACAATGATACTCCCGTTTGCTTCCTGTGAAGTAGTTACTAATAATCACTGATGTCGCTTTTTAATTTCATACATCCTTTAACTATCTTCATATAGGTATTGAAAGAGTCAACATAAAAGCCACATCCATTTTCTAATTTTGAACAATAGTTAGAGAAACCTAATATCTTCTCATATTTTTGTCTTGCTTCTGTCTCATGAGTTCCCAAAATAGATATATTATCTGAATGAAGAGTTCATGGGCAAATGTCACACTTTTCTTGGTTTGGCTAATTATATTTCTGCTTTTGCTTAGAATAAGATTAATTTTCCTATTCTGCTAATAAACCACGTGATGGCAAAATGCCTTATTCTGAGAAAAGAAGCCTTTGGTATTTTAAAGAATTGGGAAGCTATTTCAGATAAGCTATCATATGCATGAAGATTAATTTATTCATATGAAATGTTCAATAACCAGAAAAGACTGTTTTAAATAAAACCATTTCACAATTAAGTTTTTTTTTGGTTATGGACAGTGATTTCTTCTAAGAAACAAAGCGTCTGTCTATATGAAGAATAACTAAAATAATGGTTAGCAAATATTGATTGGATCCAGCCAAGTGAGCAGCATTTTTGAGTTTACAGATGTGGTAACTTTGAACTATATTTACGTGCTTATAATGAAACCTTACAGTTGGAGTAATAGCTTTGTTCCTGAGTCTCATGAATATTTTCCAGCTCCTTTGTCCTAAATTTCTACCTGACAATCATCCATTTCAAGGAATAAAAGGATATAATAAGTGATAAATCTGTGCTGGAAATTTTTAATCTAAAAAGTTCACATACTATTTCTAATAAACTGAAAACTATTAGAGAAAGATGGAGGTATTAAAACCTATTAATAAGGAAATCAATGGCGACATATTTTAAATGGTTTTGAATTTTATAAAGATTTTCTTTTATAGCACTATGTCCTTTTTCTTTTCTTCTCCTTGTTTGATTTCCAACAGCTGAGCTATTTACTTGTTGAGTTATTTCATATCTATTATTCCATTTAGACCTTGAACCCTGTGAGGGCAGGGACTAACTTTATTCCTAGTGCCTGTCACATGATTTGAACTAAATAAGTATATTTTTCCAGCCTGCACTACTACTTACAATAAGGAGTTTCTTATATTTACTTGAAAATGTTTTCAACCTTCTAGGGATGACCTCTACTATTATTATTCCATTATTGACCTTTCTATGCTTATTATTGACCTTTCATCTTATTATTCTGATTTAGTAAGCAGATTTTATGTCTCCTTGTCCATACCATTCAAGGCTATCTAGATTTCAATTGTATCTTCAGATTTTTACCTTCCACCTTGATGAGTCCCAATGTGAACCCTCCAAAGCAGGTTCCTACTGCACTCATCAGTTTCTTTGGTTGAGGGATAGTGGCCACTATGTCCTTCTCAGGATGTTGGAGACATGATGAAATAAAGACGGTGATATTAGCCCCCTAACGGTAATCACTCATGCTGCTCCCACCCATGTCTACCCACTGGAACAGGGAGTGGTGGCATTGGGGTGGTACAGGGCTTGCCGAGGATGTTGGCTTATAGCTGTATCTCCAAACATCCAGAGCATGTCTTCTTTTTCACCTCTCCTTTAGAATCTGCTTCCTCGAACCATCCCTTTAAGTGCAGGAAGAAAGCTATTTTTAATATGAAAATTACTGTTCCAGTTATCTCATGGTGGAAATTCTTAATGGGCTCTTACTTTGGGCATCTGTCTGGCTCTCAGTGCCAGTAACTTTCTTTTCTTCTTATCTTTGTTTTGTTTTGTTTTAAAGATGGGGTCTCCGTCACCCAGGCTGGAGTGCAGTGATATGATCATAGCTCACTGCAGCCTTGAACTCCTGGGCTCCAGCAATCCTCCCACCCCAGCCTCCCAAGTAACTGAGACTACAGGCACCCACCACCGTGGTTGGCTATCAGTGCTAATAACTTTCTGAAGCTCCATGCCTTTAACTCCAGTGTTCTTTACTTAATGTTTTGAAATATCTGCTGCCCACAAATCCTAGCACATTTCTGAAGTTACCAAGACTTTAAGACCTCCCATACTGCTTTTTCTCCCATCTTCCCTTCTCAGTGTTATTAGCCTCATAGTTTCAAGGGCCCAGCCCAGTATCCACCACACACCATATCCCATACGTACAAATACAGCATAGATAGTATTGAACATTTCATTTTTCACTTTAGCTTGGTGAAAATTAATATGTATTTAGGTATTTTATAGTTATGACTCTTAGTTTTGGGTTGTCTATCTGCTCCATCCTTATTTCTACCTTTAAATGCAGAGCTATTTCCACCAGCTTGAGATAAAAGAAGACAATAGATCCTAAGTCTTCCACTTGGTTCCCTATGGGTTTTGTTTGTTTGTTTGTTTTTTTTTGGTAGAGATGAGGTCTTACTCTGTTGCCCAGGCTGGAGTGCAGTGGTGCAATCATAGCTCACTGCAGCCTCAAACTCCTGGGTTCAAGCAATCCTCCTGCCTCAGGCTCTGGAGTCACTGGGATTACAGGCGTGAGTGACTGTACCTGGCTTCGATTTCCTGATTAAATTATTCTCTCTGCAGCTAGTTTCTTTATTCCAGCCTGAGTCATTTTCTTGCCCTGGGTGACATTTTTCCGTCTTGGACATCTGTCGTATTGAAAGCCAGTCACTTCATTTATGTCTGTCCTCGACTTCTGTTTGATACACTTCCCATGTCTCCAAGTCACGGTATTTCTGAAACAATTCATATTGCTTTTCATTACTAAACTTTTTTTCCAAAGTACTCCTCTGCAGCCTTCATTCCTGATGTCTTTAAATTTCTCTAGAAGGTCTTATATGCTAGATCTACATCTCCTTTAGACACTTATCATTAACCCAATTTAGGGTAACAGAAATTTTTTTTTACATTGAGCACTCTCACAGGTACCTACAACTGCTCACAGTGGTCCTAGAAAGGACATACAGTAAATTGAAATGGACATTGTTTGGCAGGTGATTTTTATATCCTTCCTGACGATGCTGGTTCAACTTTAACATACAGGCCTAATTTTTTTTTAATCCCTAACCCAATTAATAATACGAAAGTAATACATATTCATTCTAGAGTATTTGGAAAATATAGCTAATCCCAACAACCAATCAGAGATAACTACTTATCTTTTTCCTTTCAGTCTCTTTTTATATACACATACACTTAAACCTATCTCCTTATCAAATTGTGATGAGTTATACACATAGGGAATTGAAATAACCAAATATTTCTATAATTCTTATAAGTAAAAATAGTAATAAAAATGACATTCAATTTTTACTTGTTGATTCCGGTGTGCGTTTTCCTCTTTTAAAATAGTTGTTTAGTTTTCCAAAATGGCCAGCAAAAACTTACTTAATTTATAAAGTTACTGAAATACTCTCTCTTTAAAAATGAAAAAATATGATATAATAATTTTAATGATAAAATGAAAAAGGTAATAAAATAGAAAAAATATTTATCTTGAATGTTGGAAATTGAGACAAAGCATATTCAATGTTCAATTGAATGACTATCAAGTGGTATCTGGAAAATTTTATAGAAACCTAGTATTTTTATAGATGTTTTTGAAAAGAAATACTGGTTATTGGGTTTACTTCACTCAAGAAATCCTTTTGCTTAATAGGGGTATATAATTAATACTAGTTAAGTGTTGGTTATTGTATTGTATAAGTGTTGGTTATTGTATTTTCACAGTGCTATAAAGAACTACTTGAGAATGGGTAATTTATAAAGAAAAAGAGGTTTAATTGACTCACAGTTCTGCAGGGCTGGGGAAACTTACAATCATGGCAGAAGGTGAAGGAGAAGCAAGACACATCTTACATGGTGGCAAGAGAGAGTAAAAGAGCAAGGGGGGAATTGCCACACCTTAAAAATATCAGATCTTTTGAGAACTTACTCACTATCATGAGAACAGCAAGAGAGAAATCCACCGCCATGATCCAATCACCTCCCCCCATGCCTTTCCTCTAACATGTGGGGATTACAATTTGAAATGAGATTTGGGTGGGGACACAGAGCCAAACGATATCAGTTGTGTAGATTGAATATTGAAATATTGAAATCTTGAGTCATATAATGAATACTGAAATATATGTAATTCTCAAATTATCAACACTTAGCTGGCAAAGGTTCTTATATGTGAATGGCTCATTAAGCTTTGGATTTCCTTTCCACTGTGTTGCTGCTCTGGATGACAACATTGCTGTCCATACAGACAGCACCACCTATTGGCCAGCACCCAGGGCCCGCTCTGAGTGATTTCCTTACCACCTTTCCTTTTTCTCAAGGTCCTCATGGCCCTGCAGTGCTTGAGTACTTGTCTTTGACTGCTGGGAATCAGTTTGTTTGGCTGAAGACTGTCACACTTATCCACACATTCTTTAAAATCCCTTTCTTCTTCTTACACTTCTCTTCCAAAGCTTGCCTGGTTACCTTAGTTGAATCTCACTCTCTCTCTCTTTCTCTCTTCTGTCCTTCCGTCCCTCTTCCCTTCCTTTTTCTTCCTTCCTTCCTCCCTCCCTTCCTCCCTCCCTTCCTTCCTTCCTTCCTTCCTTCCTTCCTTCCTTCCTTCCTTCCTTCCATCCTTCCTTTCTTTGAGACAGGGTCTTGCTCTGTTGCCCAGGCTGAAGTGCAGTGGCACAATCTCAGCTCACTGCTCACTGCAGCCTTTACTTCCTAGGCTCAAGCAATCCTCCCACCCCAGCCTCCCAAGTAGCTGGGACTACAGACGCGAGCTGCCACACCTGGCTAATTTTTGTATTTGTTGTAGAGACGGGGTTTCACCATCTTGTCCAGGCTGGTCTTGAACTCCTAGGCTCAAGTGATCTGCCCACCTCAGCCTCCCAAAGTGTTGGATTACAGGCATGAGCCACTGTGCTCAGCCTCTTTTACTTTTTTTTTCTTTTCTTTATTACCAAGCTTCTGCTTTGCTTCTTCCATTCTTCTTTCCTGTTTTCTAAGGGATTACTGAAGTGTTTTATTTTTTTCTCTTTTTCTTTTTTCTCCTCATACTGGTTTGGAAATTATATATTTTCTTTGCATTCTTTCAGTAGTTGCCATTAAAATATTTTTAGTTGAATATTTCATTATATTCCCATTCCATCTTTGTTTTTATATTTAGATTTTATTTCACCAAAAATTTTAAAAACTCATAGTTGAAAATATCAAATACTTCCTCATGAGCCTTATATCCCTCCCTCCTTCCCCTGAAACAATCATTTACATTTCTTTTACTGGTCATGTTGGTATCTACTTCCATGTCTCTAAAAAACATTCATTTCTCAATTTCTTATATTTCTCAATTTTCCAGTTTTTGGTATTATCTATTGACTTCCCACTCTAGAAAATGACTGCTCCCACCATATATGTGCCTTCTTTCCTCTTCACGCCCTCACAATACAGTCATTTTATGTTTGCGTTTGATATCAAGCAATATATTTACATTAATGTAACTATGCACAAACTGTTCACAGCTGAGCCATGTAGGAAACTATGATAAATTTTTCTTTCCTGAGCAGCTTTTTGCTTGCCCTGGAGCTAATTATCTTGTTTTACCATTTGCTTAGTTTTCTATGTACTTATCACTAATTTAATCCCAAATTATTTACCAGTTCTCTAAATCTTCTCTTAATCTACTAAGATGCATTGCTTTCATCTTCCTGACAAAATATGCTTCATTCTTCTGATGGCCTATTGGTCTTTATACCTGATGCATAAGACATAAAGCTGTCATCTTGGGACTTTCCCTCACCATCATTCTGGCCTCACTGTCTTACTCTCCTACATGTGTCTCCCAACCTGGGTGTATGTCCTGGGTGTGTTGCCCTGATCTTCCACTTTATTGGTTTAATTTCTTGTTTTGGTGAAGATGGTAAGTTCTGGACAGCTTAGTTAGGGAACCCTGATGTTACTGCATTTAGGTTTTCCTCCTGGACTGATCAGGTAAGATTCTTCCAATCTCCTGTCAGAAGAGTCAAAGTCTGCTATTACTATTTTGGATCTGGGTCAAGTGAGATAGTGGGGTAGAGAGAGGTGGGCATTCAATATGCATGCATTTTCTTAAGCTGGCTTTGTTCAGTACAGTGCTCCCAACTTCAACTCTGCTTGGGATCCCCAAGCAGGAAACCTGTTCTCTCTCTCCTGTGAATATGCTTCCTGGGAAAGAGAAGGGAAATAGAAGCGGTAGTGTACCTTTTCATGATTGGAAAGGATCTAGTGATCTGACTGCTTCTTAAATAAACTTTCAATGCATCATTCTCATTTTAGTCTCTCCTCTTCACCACACTTCCAGAAGAATCTGATGCTGCCAATTCCTGACACTTGAAGGCTCTTGAGTGTCAAACAAGTTGCTTCTTGGCTTTCCTGCTGCTGGTTTAGTACTTTAATTTGGGAGTTCTGCTAAGTCTTTTCTCACTCATCCAATTTTCCAAAATTGTGTTATTATTGTTTATTTTCCCATGGCCCAGGACTTAAAAAAATTCACTGACAAATTAACTGGATTTGGGGAGGACCAAATTTGATGCATGTGTTTAATTTACTCCCTACATCTGGGAGCTCCATTAAATTTTTACAAGTATAACTTGACATAATAAAATCTAAATTTAATTAATATATTTACCCTTCACCTCAAAAATACAAGGGCTTTAGAAACTTTCAATACTAATTACCCCATATTCCTTATTAATGTTTATTGTTTAAATTCTGCCTTTTAAATACCCTCCATCTCCAAATTAGCCATTGTTCCCCATTATTGTAGTGTATAAGAGTGCTTATTCAGATACAGCCAGATGTTTATACATTTCTTGGTCCACCATTTCTTCTTGCATGTGACTCCTTCTTTCTGGGTTCAGTGTCCTTACCATTGAAGTACATCTTTACTGAAGATGCTGTTGGTGTCCTGTCCAGAATCTCTTCAATGAGCTGGCGTACTCATCCCTTAGCTGCTGAGAGTGTTGGCTGCTAATAGTTCACACTCTTTCCCTGAGGATTCCATTCAAGCCAACAATTTCAGAAAATGCCTGGAAGGTAACAGCCTTCCCCCGTGGGTAGCTCATAGCCAATGACTGATTGATATGGGTGTACAGAACTGAGGCTCCAGAACTCCCTGTGGGATCAGACTGAGGCTAGACTTCAGCTAAACCCATATCTTTCCCAGCTTCTTTTCCTGTCCTATTCTGCTTCCTTCCTCGCTGTTCAGATTTCTTCTGAGAGCACTCCCTCAGGCAATCACTTGGACAGGAATCTAATTCTCAGGGTCAGCTGCAAGAGCCCAATCTAAGACAGTTGATAGCAGTAGTAATTATATACACCTGAGTCTGAGGATGGGATTCTGGAGTTTGCTCACTCACCAGTGGTTCCATCAGAATCTCTTCCCTGAAGATAGTCTCAGATGTGCTCCTGCAGTGAAATTGCTAACACTTTTACTTGTAGTGAACCAGGACAGCATATAAGTAGAAGCGAATGCATTAACTTCTGTGATGTATCTAGTATTTGAGAGTACAGGTGGAAAAGTAACTTGAAAGATTGTTGAATTGGGAGGGTATTGCTAAGCACCATTGATGCACTAAGTATAGATGCCAGGATCAAATCTATTAACCACCAATTTAAACCCAAGTGTGAGAGTCAAAGGGCCTCCATGGAAGCCTTTAAAAAGTCCCTCATCACTGGCAGCCAGAAGGCCAACTGAACTGAAGCCCAGGTGCAGCCTGTACTTATGAGTGGCAGAATGCCAGAGAAGGTTAATTCTCAGCCTGTGTAAGTCTCCTTCAAGAGAATCAGGGTCCTGATTGGAAAAAAGTGGGAACATGAGAATTGGAATGGGGAAACTTATTAGACACACTTAAGGACCTTGGCCTCCCAGCTTCTCCGGAATATCTGGGCCTACAGACGTGGCCCACTCCCTTGCTGGAAGATGGAAGACCTTCTCCTTGCTTGAAAACTATAAGCTTCGAGTAAGTCAAGTGTCCTACAAAACAATGTTGGTCCTGCTCAGAATCTACCCCCACTTCTCTCCCCGATACCAGACAGTATGAGGACTAAGTTTCAGTATAATCCAACTGGGTAAGTACAGTGTCTGTTAAGGGAGGGGAGGATCATATGGCAAAGGCGCTGCAGGATCTGGCTGACTTAAGCCAGCAGGACCCCAGAGAAAATGCCTGGAAGTGGATCCCAAAGATGCTGGATCAAGAATGGGGAATAGGAAGTCAGGAAAGGGACACTTTGTTGTTATAGTAATACTGTGCAGTGACATAGGATTTGACACCCTGGCAATGACCCTGGAATGACTGTTAGAAGCTTGGCTTTCCTAGTATTTCTGTGACATTAATCACATTTTAATCACAACTTCCATATCTGTAAAATGGAGGACTGGGACAATATTGATTATTTTTAAAAAAGTGTTATTTTAGGTTTGGGGGTACATGTGAAGGTTTGTTACATAGGTAAACTCATGTCATGGGGGTTTGTTGTACAGATTACTTCATCACCCAGGTATTAAGCCCAGTACCCAATAGCTATCTTTTCTTCTCCTTTCCCTCCTCCCACCCTCCACCCTCAAGTAGACCCCAGTGTCTGTTGTCTCCTTCGCATTTGTAAGTTCTCATCATTTAGCTTCCACTTATAAGTGAGAACATGTGGTATTTGGTTTTCTGTTTCTGTGTTAGTTTGCTAACGATAATAGCCTCCAGCACCATCCGTGTTCCCACGAAATACATGAACTCATTCTTTTTTATGGCTGCACGGTATTCCATGGCATAAATGTACCAAATTTTCTTTATCCAGTTTGTTGTTGATGGGCATTTAGGTTGATTCTATGTCTTTGCTATTGTAAATAGTGCTGTTGAATATCAAGCAGCTATGGAATGCCTCCAGAAAGCACATAGGAGTTTGTTATCTGAAATTCAGACACTGCATGCACAAATGAATGGTAGGAAAATGACTCTGAAAAGTGAACAAAAGAATGAGAAACCAAGCCAAGATGAACATTTGCATGCATGTGTCTTTATGGTAGAATGATTTATATTCTTCAGGGTATATACCCAGTAATGGAATTGCTGGGTGAAATGGTAGTTCTGCTTTTAGCTCTTTGAGGAATCACCACACTGCTTTCCACAATGGTTGAACTAATTTGCACTCCTATCAACAGCATATAAATGTTCTCATTTCTCTGTAACCTCACCACCAGCATCTGGTTGTTGTTGTTTTTTTCTTTTTTTTTTTTTTTTTGACTGTTTAGTAATAGCCATTCTGACTGGTGTGAGATGGTATCTTCATAGTGGTTTTGATTTGCATTTCTCTAATGATCAGTAATATTGAGCTTTTGTTCATGTGCTTCTTGGCCACATGTATGCCTTCTTTTGAAAAGTGTCTGTTTATGTTCTTTGCCCACTTTCTAAGGGGTCCTTTGCCCACTTTCTATGGGGTTGTTTTTCTCTTGTAATATTGTTTAAGTTTCTTATAGATGCTGGATATTAGACCTTTGTCAGATGCACAGTTTGAAAATTGTCTCCCATTCTGTAGGTTGTCTCTTTACTCTGTTGATAATTTCTTTTGCTATGCAGAAGCTCTTAAGAGTAATTAGATCCCTCTTGTCAATTTTTGCTTTTCTTGCAATTGCTTTTGGTGTCTTTGTCATGAAATCTTTGTCTGTTTCTATGTCCAAGATGGTATTGCCTAGGTTGTCTTCCAGAGTTTTTATAGTTTTGGGTTTTACATTTAAGTCTTTAATCCATCTTGAGTTTATTTTTGTAAATGGTATAAAGAAGGGGTCCAGCTTCAATCTTTTGCATGTGGCTACTTAGTCACCCCAGCACCATTTATTGAACAGGGAGTCTTTTCCTCATTGCTTGTTTTTGCCAGCTTTGTTGAAGATCAGATTATTGTAGGTGTGTGGCCTTATTTCTGGGCTCTCTATTCTGTTCTATTGGTCTATGTGCTTGGTTTTGTACCATTACCATGCTGTTTTGGTTACTGTAGCCCTGTAGTATAGTTTGAAGTCAGGTAACATGATGCCTCCAGCTTTGTTATTTTTGCTTAGGATTGCCTTGACTATTTGAGCTCTTTTTGGTTCTATATAAATTTTAAAATAGATTTTTCTAGTTCCATGAAAAAGGTTGTTGGCACTTTAGTAGGAATAGCATTGAATCTGTAAGTTCTTTGGGCAGTATGACAATTTTAATAATACTGATTTTTCCTATCCATGAGCATGGAATGTTTTTCCATTTGTTTGTGTCTTCTCTGATATTTTTGAGCAGTGCTTTGTAATTCTCATTGTAGAGGTCTTTCACCTCCCTAGTTAGCTATATTCCTAGATATTTGATTCTTTCTGTGAATGGGATTGCCTTTCTGATTTAACTCTTGTCTTGGCTGTTGTTGGTGTACAGGAATACTAGTGTTTTTTGTACGTTGATTTTGTATCTTGAAACTTTGCTGAAGTTGTTTATCAGCTGAAGGAAATTTTGGGCCAAGACTATAAGGTTTTTTAGATATAGGCCAGGTGTTGTGGCTCACGCCTGTAATCCCAGCACTTTGGGAGGTTGAGGTGGGTGGATCACCTGAGGTCAGGAGCTCGAGACTAGCCTGACCAACATGGAGAAACCCTGTCTCTATTGAAAAATACAAAATTAGCCAGGCATGGTGGTGTATACCACTAATCCCAGCTGCTCTGGGAGGCTGAGGCAGGAGAATCACTTGAACCCGGGAGGCGGAGGTTGTGGTGAGTCGAGATCATGCCACTGCACTCCAACATGGGCAACAAGAGTGATACTCTGTCTCAAAAAAAAAAAAAAAAGAGGTTTTCTAGATATAGAATAATGTCATCTGCAAAGAGAGATAGTTTGACTTCCTTTCTTCCTATTTGGATGCCCTTTATTTCTATTTCTTGCCTGACTGTTCTGTCTAGGACTTCCAATACTATGTTGAATAGGAGTGGTGAGAGAAGGCATCCTTGTCTTGTGCCAGTTTTCAAGGGGAATGCTTCCAGCTTTTCCCATTCAGTATGATGTTGACTGTGGGTTTGTCAAACATGGCTCTTATTATTTTGAGGTATGTTCCTTCAATACCTAGTTTATTGAGAGTTTTTAACATGAAGGGGTGTTGAATTTTATCTAAAGCGTTTTCGGCATCTATTGAGATAATTATGTGGTTTCTGTCTTTAGTTCTGTTTATGTGATGAATCACATTTATTGATTTGCGTATGTTGAACCAATCTTGCATCCCAGGAATGAAGTCTATTTGATCATGGTGGATTAGCTTTTTGATGTGCTGCTGGATTCAGTTTGAAATTATTTTGCTGAGGATTTTTGCATTGATGTTCATCAAGGATATTGGCCTGATGTTTTCTTTTTTGTTGTGTCTCTGCCAAGTTTTTGTATCAGAATGATGGTGGCTTCATAGAATGAGCTAGGGAGGAGTCCTTCCTCCCCAGTTTTTTGGAATAGTTTTTATAGAAATGGTACCAGCTCTTCTTTGTACATATAGTAAAATTCAGCTGTGAATCCATGAGGTCCTGAGCTTTAGTTTGGTTGGTAGGCTATTTATTACTGACTTACTTTTGGAGATCATTATTGGTCTATTCAGGGGATCAGTTTCTTCCTGGTTCAGTCTTGGGAGGGTGTATGTGTCCAGGAATTTATCCATCTCTTCTAGGTTTTCTAGTTTGTGTGCATAGTGGTTTCTAGTGGTTATTTTTATTTCTGTGGGGTCAGTGGTAACATTCCCTTCGTCACTTCCAGTTGTGTTTATTTGGATCTTCTCTCTTTTCTTCTTTATTAGTCTAGCTAGTAGCCTATCTGTCTTATTAATTTTTTAAAAGAACCAACTCCTGGATTTGTTGATCTTTTGAATGGTTTCTCGTGTCTCAAATTCCTTCATTTCAGCTCTGATTTTGGTTATTTCTTGTTTTCTGCTAGCTTTGTGGTTGATTTGTTCTTGCCTCTCTAATTCCTTCATCTGTTACGTTAAGTTGTTAATTTGAGATCTTTCTAACTTTTTGATGTGGGCATTTCGTGCTGTGAATTTCCCATTTAACACTGCCTTAGCTATGTCCTAGAGATTCTGGTATGTTGTATTTTTGTTCTCATTAGATTCAAAGAACTTCTTGATTTCTGCCTTAACTTCATTATTTACCCAAAAGCCATTCTGGAGCATGTTTAGTTTTCATGTCATTGCCTGATTTTGAATGATTTTCTTGGTCTTTGACTTCTGTTTTTATTGCGCTGCGGTCAGAGAGTGTGTTTCGTATTATTTCAGTTATTTTGCATTTGCTGAGGATTGTTTTACATCCAATTATGTAGTTGCCTTTAGAGTAGATGCCATATGGCGATGGGAAGAATGTATATTCTGCTGTTTTTGAGTAGAGAGCTCTGAAGAGGTATATCAGATCCATTTGCTCCAATGTTGAGTTCAGGTCCTGAGTATCTTTGTTAATTTTCTGCCTCAATTATGTGTCTAATATTGTCAGTGGAGTGTTGAAGTCTCCCACTATTAATGTGTGGGAGTCTATGCCTCTTTGTAGGTCTCTAAGAACTTGCTTCATGAATCTGGGTGCCCCTGTGTTCGGTGCATATACATTTAGGATAGTTGCATCTTGTTGTTGAATCGTACCCTTTACCATTATGTAATGCCCTTCTTTGTCTTTTTTGATCTTTGTTGTTTTGAAGTTTGTTTTGTCTGAAATTAAGATTGCAACCTCAGCTTTTTTCTGTTTTCCATTTGCTTGGTAGATTTTCCTCCATGCCTTTATTTTGAGCCTTTTGGTGTCATTATGTGTGAGATGGGTCTCTTAAAGACAGCATACCATTGGGACTTGCTTTTTTATCCATCTTGTCATTCTGTGCCTTTTAAGTTGAGCATTTAGCCCATTTACATTCAAAGTTACCATTGTTATGTGTGGATTTGATCCTGTCATTGTGTTGTTAGCTGATTATTATGTTGGTTTGTTTGTGTGGTTGCTTTACAGTGACACTATTCTGTGTGTTTAAGTGTGTTTTTGTATTAGCTCGTAGTGATCTTTTCTTTCTATATTTAGTGCTTCTTTTGAGATCTCTAGTAAGGCAGGTCTGGTAGTAAAGAATTCCTTCAACATTTGCTTATCTGAAAAGAATCTTATTTTTCCTTTGCTTGGGAAGCTTAGTTTGGCTGCATATAAAATTATTGGTTGAAGATTGTTTTCTGTAAGAATGTTGAATATAGGCCCCCAATCTCTTTTGGCTTATAGGGTTTCAGCTGAGAGGTCCACTGTAAGCCTGATGGGATTTCCTTTGCAGGTAACCTGCGTTTTCTTTCTGGCTGCCTTTAACATTCTTTCTTTCATTTTTACCTTGGAAAATCTGACAATTATGTGTCTTGGGGATGATCTTCCTGTGTAGAATCTTGCAGGAGTTGTCTGTATTTCCTGTATTTGACTGTTGTCCTCTCTAGCAAGGTTGTGGAAGTTTTCATGGACAATATATTGAAATACGTTTTCCAAACTGTTTGCTTTCTCCCCCTTCCTTTCAGGGATGACAGTGATTTGTAGATTTGGCTTCTTTACATAATCCCCTACTTCTTGGAGGTTTTGTTCATTCCTTTTTATTCTTTTTTCTTTATTTTTGTCTGACTGTCTTATTTCAGAAAGCCAGTTTTCGAGTTCTGAGATTCTTTCCTCAGCTTGGTTTATTCTACTATTAATACTTGTGATTGCATTGTGAAATTCTTGTACTGTGTTATTCAGCTATGTCGGACCCATTAGGTTCTTTATTATACTGGCTATTTTGTCTTTCAGCTCCTGTATCACTTTATTGTGATTTGTAGTTTCTTTGGATTGGGTTTTGCTGTCCTCCTGAATCTCAATGATCTTCATTCCTATACGTATCCTAAATTCTATTTCTGTCATTTCAGCCAGCTCAGCCTGGATAAACACTCTTGTTAGAGAATTTGTATGGTCATTTGGAGCACATATGACACTCTGGCCGTTTTAATTTTTGGAGTTCTTGCGTTAGTTCTTTCTCATCTCCATGTGTGGGTGTTCCTTTAACTGCCATATAGATTGAGTACAGTCAATAGATTTCTGGCTGTTTTCACTAGGCTGAGGCCTTGTGCAGGGTCTTTTTTTGAAGCTGACTTCTTGTCTCTAGTTTCAGAGGTGAGTATGTTAGTGAGGTATTCTTGGTGTTGAAGCTTTGGGGTGTGATCCAGTAGGTGGCACTTAGGCTTATTGGTCAACTGGTAGACTCTTGCTCAGTTGTGTGGCTCCTCTGTGTTTTCTCATAGTTACAGCTGTGTTCACTCTCAATGCTCTGAAAGTGTGGGTTCCTCTCCCCCTTCAGTGCCAGCTGTATGGCTATAGATTGTGGTTTGACACTCCTGGCTGCCCACTGCAGCTCTGGGGCAATGTCAGTGTTTACGTTCCTTCCTCAACTTGGCGGCAACAGAGGAAAGGACCTTAGTAGTGGTTGTGGTCAAGGGTCTTTTGCTTGTATCCTGGGAGCTCCACACCAGAGAGATGTAGGTCAGCAATTCCTCAGTGCAATCACCCCAGGATGAAGGGTCTGTGCTGTGGGCTCAAGCCAGGGGTTCTCTCTGGTGATGAGTGGGGGTTGGGGGTGTGGGAACCATGGGAGACAGACTGGCCTCCTCTTCTTGGGTTGATTGCAGCTTGTTGGAGGTATAAATAAGGTACTTAGGGTCTTTTCTTCTTCATTAGTCTGAGGGTAGCAAGGGCAGTTCTACTGCAGAGACAGTGGCAGAGAGGCTTTCAGGAACAGTATTTATTAACCAATTGTTTCAACAAATATTTATTGACAATTCAACATGTACCAGACACTGTGTTAGGCAAGGGGTCTTCAATGGGCCACAAATAGATGTGGTCCTTGACCATGTCATTGGAGCTTAATGGGAGAGACTGATAGTAAGCAAGTAAACAACAACAAAAAAATAAGGTAATTCAGGTTGTGACAACCTCTCTGAAGGAAATATATAGGATGCTATAAAAGTGACTAGAGCAAGGAACGGCCTAATTGAGCTAAGATAATCAGGTAGGGTCTCTGTAAGGAGTTGACATTAAGCTAACAACTAAAGAATAAGAAGCCAGCCATGTAAATAGCTTGGATAAGAGCTTTCCAGGCTGAAGGGAATGGAAATACACAGGCCTAGAGGTAAGAAGGAGATGGGTGTCTTCCGGAAACTGATAAAAAGTCAGAGTGGCTCAGATATGCTGATATGTCCCCTGGTATTTTTTAAAATTTTTGGCCGGGTACAGTGGCTCATGCCTGTAATCCCAGCACTTTGGGAGGCCGAGGTGGGCGGATCACGAGGTCAGGAGTTCAAGACCAGCCTGACTAACATAATGAAACCCCATCTCTACTAAAAATACAAAAATTAGCTGGGTGTGGTGGCACGTGCCTGTAATCTCAGCTACTCAGAAGGCTGAGGCAGGAGAATCTCTTGAACTTGGGAGGCGGAGGTTACAGTGAGTTGCGATCGCGCCACTGCACTCCAGCCTGGGTGACAGAGCAAGACTCCATCTCAAAAAAAAAAAAATTAATTTTTGAGGGTATATTGTAGGTGTATATATTTATGGGGTACATGTAATATTTTGATACAGGTATTCAATATGTAATAATCACATTACGGAGAATGGAGTATTCATCACCTCAAGCATTTATTCTTTGTGTCACAAAGAGTCCCATTATACTCTTTTAGTTATTTTAGAAAGTACAATTAAATTATTATTGACTATAGTCACCCTGTTGTGCTATCAAATACTCGGCTTTATTCATTCTTTCCAACTATTTTTTTTGTACCCATTAACCATCCTCACCTCCCTACCCGCCCCACCCCTATTACACTACCCAGCCTCTGGTAGCCATCCTTCTACTCTCTATTTTCATGTTTTCAATTGTTTTGATTTCTAGATCCAAAAATAAGTGAGAACATGTGATGTTTGTCTTTCTGTGCCTGGCTTATTTCATTTAACATAATGACCTCCAGTTCCATCCATGTTATTGCAAATGACAAGATCTCATTCTTTTTTATGGCTGAATAGTAATCCATTGCAGATAAGTGCCACATTTTCTTTATCCATTCATCTGTGAATGGACACTTAGGTTGCTTCCAAATTTTGGCTGTTGTGAATAGTGCTGCAACAAACATGGGAGTGCAAATATATTTTCTATATACTGATTTCCTTTCTTTTGAGTATATACCCAGTAGATTGTTGGGTCATATGGTAACTCTATTTTTACTTTTATGAGAAACCTCCAAACTCTTCTCCATAGTGGTTGTACTAATTTACATTCTCATCAACAACATATGAGGGTTTCCTTTTCTCTACCTCCTCTCCAGCATTTGTTACTGCCCTGGTGTTATTTTGCTTCTTAAGTATTAGAACTATACTTAGTGTTATATGTTCTGTGATTATAAGTAAAACTGCCTTTGCTATATAGTATGCATAGAATATTTTAAAGTTATTACTAGAAGCTGACACATTGTTGTTTTCTATTACAAACAATAAAATTAGTTTCCATTTATTGAGGGCCTGTTTCATGTTAACTGCTTTACAAATATTCCTTATCTCATTTAATTCTCCCAACAATCCTACAAGAAAGCTAATATTATCCCATTTTATAGATGAGGAAATTGAGGCTTACAGAGGGCAAGTAACTTGCCCAAAGTCACTCAGTACCAGCAAACGGACTTTTCCCCCTCTCCCTGCCCCCAAATACCAGCCCCCCACTGCAAAAAAACAAAAACAAAAACAAAACAAAACTACTTCTGTAGAGCTAGTTGTCTATTTCCAAATGCAAGGCTTAAATTTTAAGCCTTGGAGTTTTCAATTTAAAGCCTTTGCCATGAAATACAGCATATTACTTTATAATAGAAAACAAATAGAAAGAGCCTTTCATGATAGATACAGTGAACACTAAATTCTTTCTTTTAGGCTGCATCTAACAATTCTCTCCTTAACCCAATAGATACTATTTCAACAAATTAGCCCAGTTTTGATTTGGATGGCAAGACTCAAAGACAACAACAACAATAAAATCACAACTTGATTTAAAAGTTAAATTCAATAAACTGTAGAAGCAGCATATTAGTCTGTTCTTACACTGCTAATGAAGACATACCTGAGACTAGGTAATGTATAAAGGAAAGAGGTTTAATTGACTCACAGTTCCACATGGCTGGGGAGGCCTCACAATCATGGTGGAAGGCTAAAGGCACGTCTTACATGGTGGCAGGCAAGACGTCCTGTGTAGGGGAACTCCCCTTTATAAAACCATCAGAACTTGTAAGACTTATTCACTATCATAAGAACAGCATGGAAAGAACACACCCTCATGATTCAATTACCTCCACCTGGTCCCACAATTGATCCCACGTGGGGATTATTATAATTCAAGGTGAGACTTGGGTGGGCATACAGAGCCAAACCATATCCTCTGAAGGGGGCCAGCCCCTCCACAGCTGTGGGTATTTCTCATCAGGTGGGATGGGGAGACTGAGAAAATAGATAAAACACAGAGACAAAGTATAGCAAAAGAACAGTGGGCCAAGGAGACCAGCGCTCCACATACAGAGGACCTGCATCGGCACCGGTCTCTGAGTTCCCTTAGTATTTATTGATTACTATTTTCATTATCACAGCAAGGAGAATGTGGCAGGAGAACGGGGTGATAGTGGGGAGAAGGTCAGCAGGAAAACATGTGAGCAAAGGAAACTGTGTCACAAATAAGTTCAAGGGAAGGTACTATGCCTGGATGTGCATGTAGGCCAGATTTATGCTTCTCTCCACCCAAACATCTCGGTGTAGTAAAGAGTAACAGAGCAGCATTGCCGCCAGCATATTTCACCTCCAGCCACAGGGCGGTTTTCTCCTATCTCAGAATAGAATGAATGTATGATTGGGTTTTACACTGAGACATTCCATTCCCAGGGGCATGCAGGAGACAGAGGCCTTCCTCTTATCTCAACCACAAGAGGCCTTCCTCTTTTACTAATCTTCCTCAGCACAGACACTTTATGGGTGTCAGGCTGGGGGAAATTCAGGTCTTTCCCTTCCCACGAGGCCGTATCTCAGGCTGCCTCAGTTGGGGGAAACCTTGGACAATACCCAGGCTTTCTTGGGCAGAGGCCCCTGAGGCTTTCCGCAGTGCATTGTGCCCCTGGTTAATCGAGAATGGAGAATGGCAATGACTTTTACCAGCATACTGCCTGTAAACATATTGTTAACAAGGTACATTCTGCACAGCCCTAGATCCCTTAAACCTTGATTCCATACAACACATGTTTCTGTGAGCACAGGCTTGGGGGTAAAGTTACAGATTAACAGCATCTCAAGGCAAAACAATTGTTCAGGGTACAGATCAAAATGAGTTTCTTATGTCTTCCTTTTCTACATAGACATGGGAACAGTCTGATCTCTCTTTCTTTTCCCTACAATCATTCCACCCCTGGCCCCTCTCAAAACTCATGTCCTCACATTTCAAAAACACAATCATGCGCTTTCAACAATCCTCAAAAAACTGAACTCATTTCAGCATCAACCCAAAAGTCCAAGCCCAAAATTTCATCTGAAACAAGGCAAGTCCCTTCCACTTATGAGTCTGTAAAATCAAAAGCAAATTAGTTACATCCTAGATATAATGGGGGTATAGGCATTGCATAAATATACCCATACCACATGGGAGAAATTGGCCAAAACAAAGAGGTTACAGGGCCTATGCAAGTCCAAAATCCAGCGGGGCAGCCAAATCTTAACGCTCTGAAATGATCTTCTTTGACTCCATGTCTCACATCCTGATGCAAGAACTGGGCGCCCATAGCCTTGGGCAGCTCCACCCCTTTGGCTTTGCAGGGTACAGCCCCTCTCCTGGCTGCTTTCATGGGCTGGCATTGAGTGTCTTTTCTAGGTGTACAGTGCAAGCTGTTAGTGTATCTACCATTCTGGGGTCTGGAGAACAGTGCCCCTCTTCTCACAGCTCCACTAGGCAGCACCCCATTGGGGACTCAGTGTGCAGGCTCCAACTCCACATTCCCCTTCTGCACTGCCATAGCAGAGGTTCTCCATGAAGGCCCTGCCCCTACAGCAAACTTCTTCTTGGACATTCAGGCATTTCCATACATCCAATGAAATTGAGACAGAGGTTTCCAAACCTTGGTTCTTGACTTCTGTGCACCCACAGGCTCAACACCATGTGGAAGCTGCCAAGCTGCACCCTCTGAAACCACAACCCGAGCTCTACCTTGGCCCCTTTTAGCCATGGCTGGAGCAGCTAGGATGTAGGACACCAAGTCCCTAGGTTCCTCACAGCAATGGGGCCCTGGACCTGGCCCAGGAAACCATTTTTTCCTCCTAGGTCTCCAGTCCTGTGATGGGAGAGGCTTCCAGGAAGGTCTCTGACATGCCCTAGAGACTTTTCCCCATTGTCTTGGGTATTAACATTTGGCTCCTTGTTACATGCACATTTCTGCAGCTGGCTTGAATTTCTCCTCAGAAAATGAGTTTTTCTTTTCTATCACATCATCAAGCTGCAAATTTTCCAAACTTTTATGCCCTGCTTTCCTTTTAAACATAACTTACAATTCCAAGCCATATCTTTGTGAATAAATAAAACTGAATGCTTTTAACAGCGCCCAGGCCACCTCTTGAATGCTTTGCTGCTTAGAACTTTCTTCCACCAGATGCCCTAAATCATCTCTCTCAAGTTCAAAGTTCCACAAATCTCTAGGGCAGGGGCAAAATGCCACCAGTCTCCTTGCTAAAGCATAACAAGAGTCACCTTTGCTTCAATTCCTAACAAACCCCTCATCTCCATCTGAGACCACCTCAGCCTGTACTTTATTGTCCATATCACTTCAGCATTTTGGTCAAAGCCATCAACAAGCCTCTAGCAAGTTCCAAACTTTCCCATACTTTTCTGTCTTCTTCTGAGTCCTCGAAGCCATTCCAACCTCTGCCTGTTACCCAGTTCCAAAGTAGCTTCCACATTTTCTGATGTCTTTACAGCAGCACTCCACTACCCAGTACCAATTTACTGTATTAATCTGTTCCCATGTTGCTAATGAAGACATACCCGAGACTGGGTAATGTGTAAAGAAAAGAGGTTTAATTGATTCACAGTTCCACATGGCTGGGGAGGCCTCGCAGTCATGGTGTAAGGCAAAAACCACATCTTACATGGCAGCAGGCAAGAGGGCATGTGTAGGAGAACTCCCCTTTATAAAACCATCAGATCTCATGAGACTTACTCACTATCATGAGAACAGCATGGGAAGAAACCCCCTCCCCATGATTCAATTACCTCCCACTGGGTTCCTCCAAGAACACAAGGGGATTATTACAATTCAAGGTGAGAGACTTGGGTGGGGACACAGAGCCGAACCAGCTCAGGAGGAACTACACAACAATAAAAACAACAGAAAATGTAACATGTAACCAATAGCAACTTAAATGTTTACGTTTTTGGTGATTATATCAACATCAAAGAAATGCAAATCAAAACCACAATAAGATGCCATCTCACACCAATCAGAATGGCTATTATTACAAAGTCAAAAAATAACAGATGTTGGCAAGGCTGCAGAGAAAAGGGAATACTTATATACTGTTTGTAGGAATGTAAACTAGTTCAGCCACTGTGGAAAGCAATTTGGAGATTTCTCAAAGAATTTAAAATAGAACTACCATTTGACCCAGCAATCTCATTACTGGGTATATACCCAAAGGACAATAAATAATTTTACACAAAAGAGACATGCACTTGTATGCTAATCACAGCACTATTCACAATAGCAAAAACGTGGAATCAACCTAGGTGTCCATCAATGGTGGATTGGATAAAGAAAATGTGGTACATATACGCCATGGAATACTATGTAGCCATAAAAAAGAATGACATTATGTCCTTTGTGGCAACATGGATGCAACTGGAGGCCATTATCCTAAGTGAATTAACACAGAAATGGAAAATCAAATACTGCATGTTCTCACTTATAAGTGGGAGCTAAACATTGGGTACACATGGACATAAAGATGGGAAAAATAGATCCTGGCAAATACTAGAGGGAGGAGAGAAGAAGGGGGCAAGGGTTGAAAAACCAACTATTGTGTATTTTTCTCACTACCTGGGTAACGGACTCAACTTCATGAAACATACCCATGTAATAAACCTGCACATGTACCCACTGATTCTAAAATAAAAGTTGAAACTATACATATTTTTTAAAGAAGCTACCTCAGTACTCTTTGTGAAAGGTGACAAGGCAGTGGAAATGGAATGGTAAGGCGATCAGGAATTCAAAAGACATTTTTAAAGTGTTATCCTCTTGAAACAGAATGAAGAAGAAGACAAGAGGATTGGATACACATACAGATTGCAAAGAGGGTCTGTAGCACCTCTCTCTTTTGAAATTTATATTTGCACTACTGTATACCTAGGGAATGTTTCAGAGAAGAAAGATGGGGAATACAATAAATTGACTAATTACTTGAGATTTTCTCTAGTTTTATCTGGTTTAAAAACAGTATTATAAATATATCCTAATTCAGAGGAAGTCATCAATGACGAATTATCCTATATTCTCTCTCTTCTGTATGAGACCATTCCAATATTTCTACTCTGGAGTACGCTAATAGGCTCACCCTGGAATGCCCAACTTCCTCTATACTGACTTACAACTTTGTTCAAATCCCAGGATACATCTATGTAAATAATGCAATCAACTCTTCACATATGCAGAATGAGCTTGGCCTTTAGCAAGATGTAACAACTTAACATTATAGGATCCTCCTATAACTCCTTCATTCATTCTTCCTAAATCAATGTCTTCCATCCTCTGAGTCATTTCTCTTTAATTCTATTTTTGTTATTTTTCTTTGCCTTAGGTTTCACTCACTTTTATGGTAAACACTTTAGGTAATATTTTTCATGAAGGATGGATTATGAAAATAAATGATACATTGTAAGCCATTGACATGTTATACCATTGGGATAAATGATGGTAGGTAATTTTAGAGTTTCAATTTGATAAAAGGGGCTTCGCCAAATGATAAGGCTTAGCATTAAGGTATTTTAAATTGTTATATATTCAGATTTAATTTTATGAAAGTTAAGATCATGTAATATGCCTCAACCACATAAATTGATAAATTACCTTCATCTCCAGTCAACCATTTACACCATTTTCCAAGAGATGAGTTTTAATGTAATGTGAGGCAGCTTTATTCTCTGAGTCATCTGTAATACTTCTTGTTACTACAGCCAAAGACCTCATCAGCATTTTCATTTTCATTATAAATTCCAAACCATCAATAAAAATTAAAAACTCAACACCAGTTTATGAAACAAGGGGGAGAAGAGAAAAATATGTATATTTTCTTGCATATTTTGGGATCGTGTATAAGAGAAAATGATTTTTTCTGCAAAGACAAGATTGAATTGGGCATTCTGAATACATGTTGTTGAGATAAGCCAAATATTTGGTCCTAGAAGCTGAGAGGATATGATACTGAATGATTATTTAGCACTAAAGTTTTATCTTCAAAGAGGTCTTGAAATAAGAATATGTAATTAGGCTGGGCACAGTGGCTCACATCTGTAGTCCTAGCACTTTTGGAGGCCAAGGCAGGTGGATCACTTGAGCTCAGGAGTTCAAGACCAGACTGGGCAATATGGCAAAACCTTGTATTTTTGTACAAAAAGTATAAAAATGAGCCAGGTATGGTGGTGTGTGCCTGTAGTCCCAGCTACTCAGAAAGCTGAGGTGGAAAAATTACCTGAGTCAAGGCTGCAGTGAGCTGTGATCAGGCCACTGCACTCCAGCCTGGGTAACAGAAAGAGTAAGACAAAGAAAAGGAAAAGGAAAAGGAAAGGAAGGAAGAAGAATATATAATTAGTTTCTACTTGAGTCTTACCGGAATGCATTTTACTGAATTTCACTTATGCAAACCTATACTAGCTTACAAAAATGTATGCAACATCTTTATGAGGCAGATACTGTGTATGAAACACAAGAGGCAAACAATGTAGAAGATTCCTCTTTCTGTTAAGTTGATAGTCCAGAGGAGAAGAAATACATTACATATACAACCTCTAATTCATTCATTTATTCTTTTCTTTTCTTTTCTATTTGTTGAGACAGAGACTTGCTCTGTTACCCAGGCTGGAGTACAGTGGTGCAATCATGGCTCACTGCAGCCTCCACCTCCTGGGCTCAAACAGTCCTCCCACTTCAGCCTCCTGAGTAGCTGGGACCACAGTCATGCACCACCACACATGGCCAATTATTTTATTTTTTGTAGAGATGGGATCTCACTATGTTGTCCAGGCTGGTCTTGAACTCCTGGGTTGAAGCCATCCTCCCGCCTTGGCCTCCCAAAGTGTCGATTACAAGTGTGAGCCACTGCACCCGCCCCTCATTCACTTATTTATTGACAAATGTTTACTGAGGTATTATCATATGTCAGGCATTTTTCTAGGCATTGGGAATATAGCAGTGTATAAACCTGATAATCACTGCCTTGATGGAGCGTAACTTCTGATTGTGGTAAGTACTGCAGAAGAAAATGCAGGCTGCTACAGGAACCCCTTCAACATAAAGAACTGTATGAAAATATTGTACAAAAATATGATTCAAAAATCATAAATGAAATTCACATTATCATTTACATGTAAGGGCAGAAGAAAATTTTTGAATATGCATGCATTTATAAATATATCCCCATGTACTCTTTTGCAGAAAACTAAAAGAACATAGAACTAGAATTTACACATCAAAATAGAAAAAGATGACCTGAAGATAAAAGAGATGATAGGATTTTTTTTTTTTTTTTTTTTTTTTTGAGGCAGAGTCTCGCTCTGTCACCCAGGCTTGAGTGCAATGGTGGGATCTTGGCTTATGGCTCACTGCAACCTCTGCCTCCCGGGTTCAAGCAATTCTCCCGCCTCAGCCTCCCAAGTAGCTGGGATTACAGGCATCTGCCACCATGCCTGGCTAGTTTTTTGTATTTTTAGTAGAGACGGGGTTTCACCATGTTGACCAGGCTGGTCTTGAACTCCTGACCTCAGGTGATCCACCCGCTTTGGCCTCCCAAAATGCTGGGATTACAGGTGTGAGCCTCCACGCGCAGCCAATGGTAGGAATCTTATAGAGGATATGTTGAGAACAAAAGCAACCTGAAGCCACACAGCTTAAAAAGATTAGGAACTGTTTGGTTGGGCATAGTGGCTCATACCTGTAATCCTAGCACTTTGGGAGGCCAAGGCAGGAAGATTACTTGAGACCAGGAGTTCAAAACCAGTCTTGCCAACATAACAAGAATCTGTCTCTATATAAGAAGATTAAAAATTAGCTGGGCATGGTGGCATGTGCTTGTAGCCCTAGCTACTTGGGAGGTTGGGGTGGAAGGATCACTTGGGCCCAGGCATTCCAGCTTATGATTTCAGTGAGTTATGATCACAACACTGAATTCCAACCTAATGGATGGAGAGAGACTATGTCTCTAAAAATAAAAAATAAAAAGATTAGGAACTGTCTGCACTAAGATGACTTTACTATTCCAAGAAATCCTTGCCTAAGAAAGTAAAGTTGCAAATTACTTTTTTGTCTTGGAAACTTTCCGATCTATGTATCTGTACTCATACAGCCTCATCGGGCTAAACAGCCTTCTTTTCAGAACAGTAGATCACTCAACTGGGTTTTCAAGTGACTGTTTACCTTTCAAGGCTGGCTTTATAGGTCTTGCCTCACTGTATCCAGCAATCCAAACTTTACCCTATCCCAGTCAGGACTGCACACCTCATATTGAAAGACATACCTTAGAACCAGACTCCCCAAACCTTACAAATATCCCACCCTTGACTCCCTTTTCTGAGGCTACTAAGATTATGTGAAGACAGTCATCTTCCTTACTGCAGTGAGCAATAAACTTGGTTTTTGTTCATCAGTAAACCATTTTGGTGGTTTCTGGAGGAGCCAGCAGTTGGCAATGGTTATAAATCTAAATCTAAAAGCCATTTATAAAAGACTGATGAATCTAGTAACATAAAAATAAACTGCATGGTAAATATCATAAACAAAGTCAAAAGACAACTGACAACCAGGTTAAAAACATGCTTTCAACATATATTACAGGAAAAGGGCTAATATTCCTAATATGTAAATAATTGTTAGAAATTAAGAGATCAGGCACCAAGCACCCATTAGAAAAAATGGGAAAAGGGCATCAATAGACAATTCACACACACACACAGAGACACACAAATGGCTTTAACAACTCTATAGAAACAGAAAGTAGGTCATATCTTTGTTCTGTGAAAAAGCTGTGCACACAAAGCTATTCCCAAATGCTGAAGAAGCCCAGAAACCAAAGAAGGAAGTGAACAAATCCAGTTCGTCAGTAATGGATGATTTATTGAGGAACTTATGGACAGAAGTGTGATCTTGGATGACTGCAAGACAGGTAGATCTCCACACTGTTATTTCCCAGACCCAAGGTTTGTGTACCGTATGGAAAGGGTACACATGCTCCAGCAAAACGATTAAAGGCAACCCTCCAGAACAGGCGAAAATGCTATGTGTGTCCTAGCCTATAATTTGTGTGATAACATCAGGGTTGTTTTGATCTTATACTAGGGACAGTAAATAAAGTAGAAACCAGAAGTTATTCATGGGACTGGGTCTAATCAGAAGTCAACATGGTGGATTAGCATCCAAAATGGGGTGGTTTTTGTCTCCACAACCTTAACAAGGCTGTTGAAAAAGTGATCCGTAAATATACATATAATCACTTTTCAAAGTCAAGAAACAATAGATGCTGGCGAGGCTGTGGAGAAAAAGGAATGCTTTTACACTGTTGGTGGGAATGTAAATTAGTACAAGCATTGTGGAAGACAGTGTGGTGATTCCTCAAGGATCTAGAACCAGAAATACCATTTGACCCAGCAATCCCATTACTGTGTATATACCAAAAGGAATATAAATCATTCTATTATAAAGATACATGCATGTGTATGTTTACTGCAGCACTATTCACAGGAGGAAGGACATGGAATCAACCCAAATGTCCATCAATGGTAGACTGGATAAAGAAAATGTGGTACATATACACCATGGAATATTATGCAACCATAAAAAGGAATGAGATCATGTCCTTTGCAGGGACACAGATGAAGCTGGAAGCCATCATCCTCAGCAAACTAACACAGGAACAGAAAACCAAGCACCTCATGTTTCTCACTCATAAGTGTGAGCTGAACATTGAGAACACATGGACACAGGGAGGGAAATAACACACACTCGGGCCTGTCAGCGGGTTGGGAAGAGGGAGAGCATCAGGATAAATAGCTAATGCATGCAGGGCTTGATACCTAGGTGACGGGTTAGTAGGTGCAGCAAACCACCGTGGCACACATTTACCTACGTAATAAACCTGCATGTCCTGCACATGTACCCCAGAACTTAAAATACAATTTTTTAAAAAGAAAAATACATATATATACCTGTAAAGTGCAAGTTCATAACTAGAAAAATGCAGATTAAAAAAATGCTAAGCTATTATTTCTCACCTATCAGATGGGTAAAAATTAAAATTTTAACTAATAAAATGTAATAAATTAAAATATGACAACACATTTTGTTAGCCAGATCTTAGGAAAATAATCACTCTTTTCATTGCTGTTAAGGAATACAAACTGCTACAACCCTTCTCAAGGGAAACTTGGCAATACCTAATATAACTACATAAGGAGCCCTATAATCTCACTTATAAAATCTACCCTGAAGATACATATCCAACAATATGAAAAACATATGTACAAGTTTATTCATTGTAAGATTATATATAATTGCTAAATTTAAGAAACAAATACTCATATATAGAACAGTGGTTTTTAAATAAACTCTAATAATTCACACAGGAGAGCACTATGCAGCTATAAAATAAATGAGGAAGAGCTCTATGGATTCATATTCAGAGATTTCCAAGGTATATTTTCATGTGGAAAGCAAAGTACAGAAGAATATCTAGAGTATACTACTCTTCATGTAAGAAAGAAGTATATATAAGAAAATATACATATATCCACATATATGAGGAAAAACATACTGGAAAGTTAAACTAGAGACAAATGAGATTCGTCACCTACAGAGGTTAAGTAGGATCAGTGTGGAAAAATTGGGGAATAAAAAGGGTAGAAATGATTAGAGAGATGTGACACACTCAGAGTATTCCTATATGCATAGCTCTAATTCCTATAAATATGGTAATGTTTCACCCCCCCAAAAAATAAATAATTAAAATTAACCAGGATGTTGGGGAAGGGAAGACCCAAAATGGAATATAAGCAGTAACAAATAAGCCCAACTGTATTACAAATAAATGACATAATTATACTAAATGGGATAAAAAATAAAAGAATTATCTAACATAACCTGGAGAACATTATTTTAACCATATACTAGAAGGCTAAAAACAGAAAGAACT
The DNA here is from genome assembly GCF_000001405.40 of Homo sapiens. Classification (NCBI taxonomy): domain Eukaryota; kingdom Metazoa; phylum Chordata; class Mammalia; order Primates; family Hominidae; genus Homo; species Homo sapiens. The sequence goes on along the minus strand of NC_000010.11, from coordinate 79,735,548 downwards.
GTATGAAAATATTGTACTTTAGTAAATTTGTTTTTCATAGGGTATGGGTTAGTATTTCTGAAACTACTTTATGTATATACTAGGATTGAGTAATTAAGAAATACACTGTGGATATCGAGAGCCAGTTTTCTGTCAGATAAGAGTTAAAATAGAGAAATTGTGAAGTAGCACAAACTCCAGATTGAAATCAGAGCAGGAATATCAGTGTGAACTCATGGATATACATGCAGTGAGATCCCAGTAGCAATGAGCACTAGTTTCCAGATCTTGGTTTCTAAATACCATTCTCGATGAAAGGAACCAGAGCTCCTTGGGGAAATGACTGAGTCCAGACTAGAGCAGGAGGAATGCAAGATGAGCTTAGACCATTTAAAGTGCCAGAAAGTAAAGACATGTTCACAAAATAATGGGGGCCAAGTCTACAAGACATAGGAGCCAACTTAAAGGAGCTACTAATGCCCAAATCTAGACAATTTGAACAACATGATCAACTGTGTGAAAGGCAAGTACAGAAGTGTATCTAGAATATATTACTCTTCATGGCGTTGTTTTACAGTTAACTTTTTTTTAATAAGTAGAAGGAGTACACTCTAGAATAATGATAAAAAGTATAGTATAGTAAATACATAAACTAGTAACATAGTCACTTATTATTATGTACTGTACATAATTGTATGTGCTATACTTTTACATAGCTGACAGTGCAGTAGGTTTGTCTGCATCGCATCACTATAATCCTGTGAGCAATACGCTGTGTTACCAGGTTATGAAAGCTACCATGTCACTACATGATAGGAAATTTTCAGTTCAATTATAATCTTATGGGACCACCCACTATCATATATGTGGCCTGCCATTGACCTAAATGTAATTATGAGGTGCATGACTGTATATAAATATACATATGTTGGACATTCTGATAGGAAAATGCCTGAATATATAAGAAACAATGCTTTTACCTCTGAAAATCTGAATAAGGGAGGCTAGAGAGATAGAAAGACTTTTACTCTTCATATAATAATCTTTTTAAAAAATAATAAACTTTTAAAAATACTGTCAATATTATCCTAGGAAGCATAGTTTTATTTCTGTTTTCATTAATTAATTTGGACCCAGCATTGATGAAGTAAAGTTTAACTTTTATTTTAGTTTTTCTCTATTGTTGAATGAACACTCTTTCTCCCAGTTTCCAATTATGTTATCTACATTGAGTCACTGCTTGACTCCATTTCCATATTTGTAGTGTTAGTCCCTGGTAAGACAATAAACTTCCTTATAAGCAAATTTAGAAGCAATTATTTAATTCAAGCTTGCACAATTTTCTCGAGTCCAGCACGAGTTGTTGCCACATCTAACAATAGCAAAGTAAAGGTTGCAATGCTTACTAGTGATGATTTCTTGAGGAAGAAAAATAAGTCTTACTTAACAATAGAAACCTTTTTTGTCTTGCTGCCCAAGTCACCAATTTTATATAGGGGAAGTAGTTAAAATTAACTAATTATGACAATTCCGGGGTAAATTAATTTCTTAGAAATGTTTCAGAGAATAATACTTTCTGCCTCAAAAGTATGCATTTATTATGTATCAAATAAAATTTTAAATTTAGAGAACATTGAAGAAATATGAGATCAGAGAAATCAAAGATTATTATTAAATTACATTTCTTTTGGTATCTCCTGAGATTTCTCAGTTATGCATTACTTGTATTCATTCATTTATTCATCAAATACAATATTTATCTAAAACCTGCTATGACCAAGACTGGGTGAGGAACTGGAGACATAGCTATTAAAAAAATAGTATTTATATTTATAAATGATGAAACAAAAAGAAAAAATAGAAGGTGAATCGGTAGGTAAAAAGAGACAATAGACTACCAGCCAATCTCAATGTGTGAACCTTGTTTGTATCCTGATTCAAGAAAAGACATTAAAAAGATTATCTGAAAGAGATAATTAAAAATCTGAATTCTGCCTGGATAGTTGATGATATTAAAGAGGTATTATTCATTCTTAGGTGTAATAATGACATTGTGGTTATGTTACAAAAAGGAGTCATTTCAGAAACAGACTGAAATATTTACAAATAAAATCATATGTTGTCTGGGACTTACTTCAAAATAATGTGTGAGTGTAGGGAATGGGCAGGGTTGCAGTAGGGACAGGATTGGCCATGGGTTGATGGTTACTGAGGCTGAGCGATGGCATGTGAGGTTTTATTATTTTATTGTTTACTCTCATCTATTTTCAAAAAGTTAAAAAATCAGCCCTCCCTTTGCTGAAAAAAGAAAAAAAGAAAAGAAAAACTACAGGTTTTGTCCCTGCCTCCTCGAGCTTTCAGTTGTAGAGAGAAAGCAACACTTACTGAGAAACTAAAAGATGATGTGTGTTGTAAAATGAGAGTGCAGGGTGACATTGCAATTGAGCAAGCTATCTTGAGGTAGAGAGAGAAGGTAGTCAAAGATTTTGTTGTTGACAGTTTAGTTAGAACTAAAATTGATAGCGCCATTGTACTCCAGTCTGTCACAGACTGAGATATTATCTCTTAAAAAAAAAATGGCTGGGCTTACTTTGGGAGGCCGAGGCAGGTGGATCACTTGAGCCCAGGAGTTCAAGATCAGCCTGACCAGCACAGTGAAACTCCATCTCTACTAAAAATAGAAAAAATTAGATGGGCGTGGTGGCACACACTTGTAATCCCAACTATTCGGGAGGCTGAGGCACGAGAATCGTTTGAATCTGGGAGGTGGTTGTTGCAGTGAGCCGAGATCGTACCACTGCACTCTAGTCTGGGCGACAGAGCAAGAATCTGTCTCAAAAAAAAAAAAAAAAAAAAAAAAAAAAAAGCCTGTAAACTAAAATTGAGAGATGGGTGGACTTGTGGGAGAGAGAAGATAGGGGCATATGCCAGACAGAAAGCAGCATGTTCAAAGGTCTGAAGCATATGTACATGTATGTAGTTTACATCCCATATAAGTCAAAATTGGATGTAAAGTTTAAAAGTCAGCTGAATATTTTGTTTACATATGTCATAGCATTTATCTGAAGCTGAGCAGGGTATATCCACATTATTCTTTGCCATGTCATCTCCAATTACATGCAAGTAAATTCAACAAGATTTGTTCTCTGTATGAGGGACGTAAAGTTGAATAACTCATGGTCACTTAAGAACCTTATAGTCCAATGGTAGAGACAGATATATTTGTCTATACCTTAGCGAAGTAAAACATGAAAAGATCTGTACTAATGGAATGAGCTGGATACTGTGAGTGTATTTAGGAGGAGTGATTAGTTACGCCTTATTAGAACAACAAAAGGCTCAGAGAGGAGCATGCCACTAGAGCTGGGTTTTAAAAGTTAAGTAGGACTTGATTAGGTAGAGAAGGGGAAAGAGAGAACATTCTAAGCAGAAGGAACAACGTGAGCACAGACTCAGACTCAAAAGTACATATTGTATCCAAGGACCTGCAGGTAAATGATGTGGTTAGAACATAGGCTTAAAATAAAATTAAAAATGGCCTGGCGCGGTGGCTCACGCCTCCAGAACTTTGGGAGGCCGAGGTGGGCAGATCACAAGGTCAGGAGTTCGAGACCAGCCTGGCCAACACGGTGGCCAATATGGTGAAACCCTGTCTCTACTAAAAATACAAAAATTAGCCGGGCATGGTGGCACGTGCCTGTAGTCCCAGCTACTCGGGAGGCTGAGGCAGGAGAATCGCTTGAACCTAGGAGGTGGAGTTTTCGGTGAGCCGAGATCGCGCCACTGCACTCCAGCCTGGGCAACAGAGCGAGACTTCCTCTAAATAAATAAATAAATAAATAAATGCAATTTAAAACATCTGTTCAGTGCTGTGATAAGATGTCATTTGCATGTTTATATTTTTCTTTTTTTTTTTTTTTGAGACAGAGTCTCGCTCTGTCGCCCAGGCTGGAGTGCAGTGGCGTGATCTCGGCTCACTGCAAACTCCGCCTCCCAGGTTCACGCCATTCTCCTGCCTCAGGCTCCCGAGTAGCTGGGACTACAGGCGCCCACCACCATGCCCAGCTAATTTTTTTGTATTTTTTTAGTAGAGACGGGGTTTCACCGTGTTAGCCAGGATGGTCTCCATCCCCTGAACTCGTGATCCGCCCACCTCGGCCTCCCAAAGTTCTGAGATTACAGGCATGAGCCACCGCGCCCGGCCATGTTTATATTTTCCAAATGCTTCACAAAGAAATAAATGCTTCCTGGCTTCCATCACAGGCATTTCAGGAAAGGAATTGTCTAACTAGATGACTACAGATAATACAAAGCAGTGAATAAAAATAGAAGGCAGTTCAGAATATGTTTCAGCTCTCGATTCTCTAAGAAATTGATGACACGTACAACTGAGTTAACATCAAAGCATCAAACCAAACTTTTCATAAGTGAATTCAGCCATCTTCATGGTGCCTGGGCTTCCTTGCTGGCTCCTGTCCTCCTGTTCACCTCTGGATTTGGTAGTTCCTTTAGACTTGGTCCTGATCCTTTTTCTCTTCTCGTGCTACTTTTTTTTCCATGGCTTTGAATATATACTTATGACTCCATATTTAGCACCAACTCAATCCTCTCTTCTCAACCTCAGATCCAAATACCCAAATGCTTTCAAGGCATTCTTACTTAAATGCCGCACAAATGTAAGATGTCTACAGCTGTACTTGTTCTTTTCCATCAATCCTGCCTCACCTCCAGTCTTCCACATCCTAATGATGCCACCTTCTACTCGGATATTCAAGCCAGAACCTGGATATTATCCCTGACTCCATCTCCCTCCTGTTACACATTCAAACTCTCACTAAGACCATTTGATTCTACCTAAAATTTTGTCTTGAATCTCTCCATTTCTGCCTTCTTTACTGCTGCCACCCTAGTATAAACTATCATCCTCTCTTGCAACAACTTTCCAAATGGTCATCTACCTTCCACTATTGCCTATGACAATGCATTCTCTATCTTAGAAGATGAAGATTCGGTAATTCCCCTGATTAGAATCCTTTAGTGACTTCCCTCTACTCTTTGATCAAATGCAAAATCCTAACTAAGGCTAGCAGCTTCCTGAAAGATCTGCCCCTATCTCTCCATCATTTCAAATCATTTGTTGCCTGTGTTATTGTCCTATTGGTTTTTAGGGTCTTAAATGTGTCCAGAACCAGCTCACAACCTTCATGCTTGTTTTTTTGTTCTTTCCAGAAAGTTATTTTCCCCTGTCTCTTGGTTGGTTCTCTCTTTTTAGGGGAAGCTTTTGCTGGGACTTAGAAAGTAAAAATCTGTTCCATCACTCATCAAGCTGGATTAATAAACATTGATAAAACTAGCTGCAAAGTTTACGGGAAACTAGTTATCCCAAAGACATGCGATAAAGCTTCATAACAACCCCATTCTTTGAGTGATTACTGTTTTCTTACTTGCTAAGAAACTTTGTTCTTTAAAATTATATGCTATTAGAAAAGAAACGTTGTCGTTTGAAATTATATTATTATAACATAAAACATCATAGCGTCTTGGAGACTCTAAAACACTTTGACACAGAGAATCAGCCTCCATTTCCATTCCAGCCACAGAGCTTAAGAAAAGGGCTTCTGGACACAATAATCCATATCTGTCTTAACTTTCTAGTTTTGAAGGAAGCAGAACCCTGGATCCTGCCCAGACCTGATGTTGACTCCTGATTTGCTTTGAGTTCATTAAAAGCCACTTAAATGGTTTCATTTAAATCTCACCCAAACTCTACTCTTCCCCCAAATCCTATAATGATTATCTTGTCCTTGTTTGGTGAGTGAGATGCCTCACAGTTCTGTGTGTGATCTCCCTCACTGCAATGAATCTATAAATATGACTTTGTCGAACTCTAAGTTGTTTCCTTGCGCTTGTAGACTGATTGAGGTAGGACATGTGACTCTTCTTCAAAAAGTCTTCTCTAAAGTTCCCACGACAAAATAGGTCCTCCTAATTCGTTGTATCATCAGCACCTTCTACTTTTCTTTCATAGTGTATTATATCCTTCAAGACCCCAAAGGAATTCGATACTTAAGTCAAAATAGTTGGTTAAAAATATTAATCAGTTATATCTGCTCCACTTTGTCGGTAATGGGGTAAAGTGGAAAACAATCCAAATGTCCAATACTTAAAGTTTGAAGCAGGTTAAATATTCCTTACCTCCCATACTACATCTCATGATGTTTGCATGGTGCATAAAAGTTTTGTAAGCCTGTAGTAATTTGAAAGATTAATTTTTGACCAATTTGAAAAAGTTTTTAAGCAAGTTGAAGAACCTTGACAAATAAGCAAAGCAGGACTGATTAACTGAATTAGAAAGAAAAAAAACCTGAAATGGTAAAAAAAAATTATTTAACACATTCTTTTTATTGTTTAGTTTCTTATGTGTATTTTTATGTATTTATTATGGTATTAAACCAAGGAATATCTTATGACAGGAAAGCAAAAACAATACAAAGGACACAATAATTCCACCTACCTACAAGTAGTAGAACTTAACGTCTTTCTTTCCTTAACACATTATCTCCCACTGAACACAACAATTTTTTTTTATTTTTTTATTTTACTTTTTATTTTATTTTATTTTTTTTGAGACGGAGTCTCACTTTGTTGCCCAGGCTGGAGTGCAGTGGCGCCATCTCAGCTCACTGCAAGCTCCACCTCCCGGGTTCATGCCATTCTCCTGCCTCAGCCTCCCAAGTAGCTGGGACTGCAGGTGCCTGCCACCACGCCCAGCTAGTTTTTTGTATTTTTAGTAGAGATGGAGTTTCACCGTGTTAGCCAGGATGGTCTCGATCTCCTGACCTTGTGATCTGTGCGCCTCAGCCTCCCAAAGTGCTGGGATTACAGGCATGAGCCATCGTGCCCAGCCCAACCATTTTTTATTTTAAACAGTCTTGTCATTGAAGCTTTAATATTATTAATTTCTAAGCTCCAAAACCTGAGGGAGGAAAGGGAAGGCTGAAGTCTCAAGAAAGAGCAAAGTAGTGAGATGACTGAAATGCAACTTCCTACCTCACAAGTTTGTCTTGGGTTAATTCTAAGGCCTAAAAACTACCAAGTATCCACTCAGTAAATAGCTGTTGAATAAATGAATGAACAGATGTCTCAATAAGCAAAATTGGTTTAATATGTCTATTTAGTGTTCAATTTCTCATAAGGATGTTATTTCCATGTTTAGGATAAAAATTCAAAATAGAGTTTTCAGCTCCTTACATTAGCTAAGGTGGGTGTACATTTATCTCCTGCCTGGTACCTTTCCTTTCCGACAAGTTTCTAGTCTGCTGTATTACACTATCTAAAACAGCCACTCTGAGCTGACTAGCACCTTATCACTTTAGACTTTCCTCACCTCCTCTGGCCCGGCACATCTAATATTTTGTTTAATCCTAAGTACTCCAGTTATTGCTCATGTCAAGAACAGACACATTATCACTGGAATTCAGGCTGAGGAAGAAGCTCCACTGAAGCCTTCAGTCTAAACATTAAGAATCAAGGAAGGCCTTTATTTATTTATTTTTCAAATACCAGCCATCCTTCCTCTGCACCCCAAATCATCAAATGTTTTTATCAACTCTCTGTAAAAATTTTGAATTTCTTAAAAAACTGAAACAGAGATGATAAATACAAGTAGCCAGTTTTAAGTACCACTGCTTCTTACTTCAAAGAATTTCCTCTAGATTTGCTATTGTTTGCAAAATATATAGCGGTGGCTCACGCCTGTAATCCCAACACTTTGGGAGGCCAAGGTGGGTGGATCACGAGGTCAGGAGATCGAAGCCATCCTGGCTAACACAGTGAAACCCCGTCTCTACTAAAAATACAAAAAATTAGCTGGGCGTGGTGGCACGTGCCTGTAGTCCCAGCTACTCGGGCGGCTGAGGCAGGAGAATCACTTGAACCTGGGAGGCAAAGGTTGCAGTGAGCCAAGATCGCGCCACTTCACTGCAGCCTGGGCGACAGAGTGAGACTCCATCTCAAAAAATAAATAAATAAAATAAATATGTATAAAACATATATTAAATATTCCAGTTACAAAAATAACAATTACCAAAAACTCCAACAAATAATATCTGTGCCTAATATACAATGTGGCAATGTTCATTATGAAGTTTTAATACAGAGAACTTTTTTTCAGAATTTTTAAGAGAATAAATTTTTCTTTTAAGAATACCTAAGCCTTATGAACATCTGATGTTCAAATACCCAGCAATGGCTGGTCATCTTTTGCTTGCCTAAACTCCATCTGAACAACGGCAAAGCTCTGCTGAACCAACCAACATAAGGAATTGCACATCCCCACATTTCTTTCCATCTTTTTCTTTTCTGTCAGACTTTCACTCTTTTGCTGATAGTAAGTACCCTTAATCTATTAAAAGAAATACAAAAATCACTTCTGACTTGCCTATTCTCTTTCATTATATGCATATTTACATCACCACTGTATGACAAATTATTTCACCTCATAGACCCTGTTTTCTGATCTGTAAAAGTGGTTAATGGTACTTACCTAAAAGGTTGTAAAATGTTTTTAAATAAAGTATGTAAAGCTTTCAGTGCAATGCCTTGTATTTGGCAAGTGCATTGTAAATGGGAGTATTATCTACATCAACATCTTCATCAAGATTACAATACTGCTCTGACTCATTCCTGATTAAGGTCATGCATTACTTAACAAGGATATAGTCTGAAAAATTCATCATGAGGTGATTCCATCGTTGTGCAAACATCATACAGTGCACTTACACAAACATAGATGGTATAGTCTACAACACATCTAGGCTATATATGGCATTGTCTATTGTTCCTAGGCTGCAAACCTGGCAGCCTATTATTGTACTGAATACTGTAAGCAGTTGTAACATAATGGTCAATATTTGTGTACCTAAATGTAGAAAAGGTACAGTAAAAGTAAACTATAGAAGATATAAAGTGGTACACTTAGGCCAGGCACAGTGGCTCATGCCTGTAATCCCAGCAATTTGGGAGGCAGAGGCAGGAGGATCTCTTGAGCCCAGGAGTTCAAGACCAGCCTGGGCAACATGATGAAACCCTGTCTGTACCAAAAAAAAAAAAATACAAAAATTAGCTGGGTGTGGTGGTGTGTGCCTGTGGTCCCAGCTACTTAGGAGGCTGAGGTGCAAGGATTGCTTGAGCCCAGGAGGTGGAGACTACAGTGAGGTTTTTTCTTTTTCATTTTCTTTCTTTTTTTTTTTTTTTTTTAAGACAGAGTCTCACTCTGTTGTCCAGGCTGGAGTGCAGTGGCATGATTTTGGCTCACTGCAACCTCCGCCTCCCAAGTTCAAGCAGTTCTCATGCCTCAGCCTCTCGAGCAGCTTAGGACACAGGAGTGTGCCACCATGCCTGGCTAATTTTTGCATTTTTAATAGAGACAGAGTTTCACCATGTGGGCCAGACTGGTCTCAAACTCCTAGCCTCAAGTGATCTGCCTGCCTCAGCCTCCCTAATTGCTGGGATTACAGGTATGAGCCACTGCACACAGCCTATAAGCTTTCTTCTATTTAAAAATTTTTATTTATTTATTTTTTACTTTCAAACTTTTTTGTTTAAAAATGAAGACATAGCCAGGTGCTATGGTGCAAGCCTATAATCCCAGCTACTCAGAAGGCTGAGGTGGGAGGATTGTCCAAGGCCAGGAGTTCGAGGCTGCAGTGCAATATGATTGCACCTGTGAACAGCCACTGCACTCCAGCGTGGGCCAACATAGTGAGGCCTAGTCTCAAAAAAAAACAAAAAACAAAAAGACATAAACACACATTACACATGAGACTAGGCCTACACAGGGCCAGGGTCTTCAATATCACTGTCTTTCACCTCCTTATCTTCTCCCATTGGAAGGTCTTCAGGAGCAGTAACATGCATGGAGCTGCCATCTCCTATGGTAACTATGCCTTATCTGGAATACCTCCTGAAGGACTGTTTTGCAGTTAACTTTTTTTTAAGTATAAAAAAGACACTCTAAAATAATAAGACAAGTATAATATAGCAAGTACATAAACCAATAACGCAGTCGTCTGTTATCATTATCAAGTACCATGTACTGTACATATTGTATGTACTATACTTTTATAGGACTGGCAGCACAGTAGGTTCGTTTACACCAGCATCATCACAAATATGTAAGTAATGTGTTGTACCATGATCAGCTCTGACATATCTGGGCAATAAAAATTTTTCAGCTCCACTGCAATCTTAAGGAACTACCACTGTATATGAAGTTTGTCATTGACCAAAAGGTCATTATATGGTGTGTGACTGTAATATAAAAATAGTTATTGTGATAAAATTATTTTAAGGGAGGGAGACAATGGATTTGGAAGTAAAATTAGTCATTTTGTTAGTTTTTTATTGCTGCTGTAACAGATTATGACAAACTTAAACATTAAAATAACACAGATTGGCCAGGAACTGTGACTCTCACACTTCTAAGCCCAGCACTTTGGGAGGCTGAGGCAGGAGGATTGCTTGAGCCCAGGAGTTGGAGACCAGGGTGGGCAATGTAGTGAGACCCCATCTCTACAAAAAATAAAAAAATTAGCCAGGTGTGGTGGCACATGTCTGTAGCTCCACCTACTCAGGAGGTTGAGGCAGGAGGATCATTTGAGCCTGGGAGGTTGAGGCTGTAGTGAGCCCAGACCATGCCACTGCACTCTAGCCTGAGCAACAGAGCAAGACCTGTACCTAACAAAATAAAAATAAAAAAAACAACACAGATGTATTATTGTATAGATCTGGAGATCAGAAGTTTCAAATGGGTTGGCAAGGCTCCTTTCCTTCTGGAGGCTCTAGGAGGAGAATCCATTTCCCTGTCTGTCTCAGCTTCTAGAGGCTGCCCACATTCCTTGGATCTAGCCCCCACATCACTCTGACCTCTACTTCATCACATCACCTTCTCTCCCTTTGTCTCACATTTCCTTTTTTTATAAAGATCCTTGTGATTACATTGGGGACATCAGATAACCCAGGATAATCTCCCAATTTCAAGATCCTTAATCACATTTGCAAATTCCCTTTTGCCATATAACGTAACAGTGGTAGGTTCTGAGGATTTGCATATGGAAATAATGGAGGCCATTATTTAGTTTAACACAGTCATTAAAAAAAAAGAAATTGGGGCATTTAACCTTCTAGAAACTGAACTGAAATTTCTCCATAATCAATAGAAAACTTTCTATTTTCTCAACACTAGTGAAACCTGCTTTTCTTTGGTGACACCAATTGATAAAACTATTTCTGATTCAATATGTTGCTTTCCCCTTTGGTTATCAGTAGTTTAATTGAATCATTGACTACAGTTTTATGGCAAATGTGAATTCTGGGTTGAACGAACTAAATTGAGATGCAAATAACAATTTGTAACATTGATCCTGTGGGTGAATTATTTCATAGTCCCAACAAATGTACTTATGTTTACCAACTTGCAATACAAGGTCTTTTTAAAAGTAATTAATTTATTTTTATTTTTATTTTTTTAAAGACAGGGTCTCATTCTGTCTTGCAGGCTGTTGTACAGTGGCCTGATTATAGCTCACTGTAGCCTCGAAATTCTGGGCTGAAATGATCCTCCTGCCTCAGCCTCCAAAGTAGCTGAGACTAGAGGTATGTGTCACCACACCCATCTAAATTTTATATATTTTTTCTAGAGACAAGGGTATGTAGCCCAGGTATTTGACCCTCCAAATCTGATGTTGAAATTGGATACCCAGTGTTGGAGGTGGGGCCTAATGGAAGGTATTTGGGTCATGGGGCAGATCCCTCATGAATAGATTAATGTTCTCCCTGGGTTGCAGGTGAGTGAGTTTTTGGTCTCTTAGTTCCTGTGAGAGCTAGGTTTTATAGGATTTTTTTTTTTTTTTTAGGCTGGTCTTGAACTCTTGGGCTGAAGAGATTCTCCCACCTCAGCCTCCCAAGGTGTTGAGATTACAAGCATGAGCCACCTCACCTGGCCAAGAGCTAGTTGTTAAAAGAGCCTAGCAGTACCCACCTCTTTCTTGTTTCCTCTCTCACCATGTGATCTCCACACACATTGGCTTGCCTTCCCTTTCTGACATGAGCGGAAGCAGCCTGAGGCCCTCACCAGATGTGGATGCCAGTGCCATGCTTCTTGTACAATCTGCAGAATCATAAGCTAAATACACCTCTTTTCTTTATAAATTACCCAGCCTTGGGTATTCCTTTATAGCAACACAAACGGAGAAAGACATATGCAATTTGCCATTTTAATCATTTTTAACTGTACAATTTGGTGGTATTAATTATATTTACAATGTTGTGCAACCGTTACCACCATCTATTACCAAAGCCCTTTCATCACCCCAAATAGAAACTGTGCTTATTCAGCAAAAACTCCCATTTTCCTCTCCTTCCAGCCCCTGGTAACCTCTGGTAACCTCTAATCTACTTCCTGTCTCTATGAATTTGCCTATTGTAAATATTTCACATAATGGTATCATACACTATCCTTTTGTGTCTAGCTTATTTCACTTAGCATAATGTTTTCAAGGTTCATCCATCTTATAGCATGTATCAGTATTCCATTCTTCTTTTCTATGGCTGAATAATAATTGTATGTATATACTGCATCTTGTTTATCCATTTATCTTTTTGTTTGTTTGTTTTTTAAAGACAGGGTTTTACCATGTTGGCCAAGCTAGTCTCGAACTCCTGAACTCAGGTGATCCGCCCACCTTGGCCTCACAAAGTACTGGGATTACAGGCGTGAGCCATCGTGCCTGGCCTATCCGTTTATCTTTTGATAGACATTTTGGTTGTTTCTACCTTTTGTCTATTGTGAATAATGCTGCTATGAACATTAGTGTACAAGTCACTGATTAAGTTGTTGTTTTCAATTCTTTGGGGTATTGTATTAGGCCATTCTTGCATTGATATAAAGAAATACCTGAGACTGGGTAAGTGCCAAAGAAAAAAGGGTTTAGTTGGCTCACATTTCTGCAGTCTGTACAGGAAGCATAGCAGCATCTGCTTCCAGGGAGGCTTCAGGAAGCTTCCAATCATGATGGAAGGCAAAGTGGGTGCAGGCATGTCACATGGCAAAAGCCAGAGCAAGAGAGGAAGTGGGGAGGTGCTGCACACTTTTAAACAATCAAATCTTGTGAGAACTCACAATCTTGATGACAGCTAGAGATGGTGAAGCCACTCATGAGAAACCACTCCCATGATCCAATCACCTCCCACCAGGCCCCAACTCTAACACCGGAGATTAATTACATTTCAACATGAGATTTGCATAGGAACAAACAGTCAAACTATATCCGGTATATACTTAAGAGTAGAATTACTGGGTGATAATTCTGTTTTACGTTTTGAGGAATTGCCAAACTATCTTCCTCAGCAGTTAAACCATTTACATTCCCACCAGAGGTATACTAGGTTTCCAATTTCTCCACATGTTCAACAACACTAGTTATTTTTTCTTCTAATTATAGCCATTCTAGTAGGTACAAAGTGGTATCTCATTGTGGTTTTAGCATCTTTTGAGTTGCTTATTGACCATTTACATGTCTTTTTTTTAGAGAAGTGTCTAAGTCTTTTGTCCATTAAAAATTTGAGTTATTTATCTTTTATTTGTTGAGTTGTAGGATTCTTTATGCATTCAATTCTTTTGGGTATTGTATTAGGCCATTCTTGCATTGCCATAAAGAAATGCCTGAGTATATTAGTTTTTTGTCAGATGTATGATTTGCAAACATTTTCTCCAATTTTTTGTGTTATCTTTTCACTCTCTTTATAGTGTCACTTGATACACAATTTTGATGAAGTCCAATTTATCAGTTGTTTCATCACTTGTACTTTTGATGTTATATTTAAGAAACCATTGTCAAACCCAAGGTCATGAAGATTTTTCAGTATGTTTTCCTCTAAGAGTTTTATAGCATTTAATATTTAAGTGTTTTATAGCATTAAATTTTGGTCTTTGATCCATTTTGAGTTAATGTTTGTACATTGTGTAAAAGTATAGGTCCAACTTCATTCTTTTGCTTGTGGATATCTAGTTTCCCCAACACCATTTGTTGAAGAGATTGTCCTTTTCCCCATTGAGTGATCCTGGAACCCTTGCTGAAAATTAATTACCCATAGATGTGAGTGTTAGTTCTGGCCTCTCGATTCTATTCCATTGGTCTATATTGTCTATCTCTGTGCCAAGTCCATGCTATTTCAATTATTATAGCTATGTAGTACATTTTAATATCAGAAAATGTGAGTCCTACAACTTTGTTCCTCTTCAGATTATTTTGGCTATTTTGGGTTCCTTGAAATTTTATATGAATTTTAGAATAGGTTTTTCCGTTTCTGCCAAAAGCGCTGTTGGGATCTTATTAGCGTGATTACATTGACTCTACATATCATTTTGAGTAGCGTTGTCGTTTTAACAATATTAAGTCTTCCAACTTATGAACACAGGATCTCTTTCCATTTATTTAAGTCTGCTTTAATTTCTTTCCAGAATGCTTTGTAGTTTTCAGTGTACAAGTCTTCTGCCTTCCTGGTTAAATTGATTTCTAAATATTTTATTCTTTTGGGTACTACTGTAAATAAAAAATTCTTAATTTCCTTTTCAGATTTTTTACTGCTAGTGTGTAGAAACACGACTGATTTTTGTGTGTTGATTTTGTATTCTGAAGCCTTGCTAAATTTGTTTATTAGCTTTAAGAGGCTATTTTTGGTATTCTTTAGGGCTTTCTACACTTATATCACTTGCAAATAGAGATAGTTTTACTTCTTCCTTTCTAATTTGGATTTATTTTATTTCTTTTTCTTGCCTGATGGGTCTGGCTAGAACTGCCAATACTGTGTTGAATAGAAGTGGCAAACACAGGCATCCATGGCTTCTGATTTTAGTGGAAAAGCTTGAAATTTTTCCCCATTGAGAATGATGTTAGTCGTGAGTTCTTAATACATGGTCTTTATCATGTTGAGACAGTTCCTTTCTATTCCTGGTTTGTTGGACAGTTCTATCATAAAGGAGGAATGGATTTTCTCAAATGTTCTTCTATATCAATTGAGATGATCATGAGTTTTTCACTCCTTCCTTCTATTACTTGGTGTATTACATCGACTGATTTTCATACGTTAAACCACTCTTAAATTTCTGGGATAAATCTCAGTTGGTCATAGTGTAAAATTCTTTTAAGGGCTGCTGAATTTAATTTCCTAGTATTTTGTTGGGGATTTTTGTATCTATAATGCATTCATAGGGGACATTTGGCTATAGTTTTCTTGTATTGTCTGTCTAGCTTTGGTATCAGGGTAATGTTGGCTTCATAGAATGACTCAGAAAGGGTTCTGTTTCTCAACTTTTTGGAGGAGTTCGAGAAGGATTAGTGTTAATTCGTTTCTAAACGTTTGGTAGAATTCACCAGCGAAGTCATCAGTTCCTGGGCTTTTCTTTGTTAGGAGAGTTTTGGTTGCTGATTCAATCAAAATTGAATATCATTACTTTTTATAGATCTATTCAGATTTATTCTTTGTTCTTGAGTCAACTTTGTTGGTTTGTATGTTTCTAGGAATTTGTCTGTTTCATCTAGGTTATCCAATTTTTTGACATATAGCTCTTATACTAATTCTCTTACAATCCTTTTTATTCCTATAAATCAGTAGTAGTGTCTTTCATTTCTGATTTTAGTAGTTGAGTATTCTTTTTCCTTAATCTAGTTAAAGCTTTGTCAACTTTGTTGATCTCTTCAAAGAACTAATTTTTTGTTTCATTGATTCTATTGTTTTTCTATTCTCTATTTCATTTATTTTTGCTCTAATCCTTATTATTTCCTTCCTCTTTATGGCTTCAAACTCAATTGAACATAAAGTATTAAGAAATTTGACTTTTTTCTCAAATGTCTAAAATGTAACAAGAAATATGTCTAGAGTCATCAAAAAGCAGCCTGTTTGTCAGATTTACTGTTTAATCCATGTAAACAGCTTTCATATAATTCATGATAGAATATTACTATGTGCTTTGGAAGACACTGAAGGAAAGACAAAAGGTCATTGGGCAGAACCACCCTAGATTGACTGTTAAGGCCATCTTCTAGTTTGCAGGACTTGTGGTAGACAGACAGAATAATATCCTGGACCTCTTGGGTGTATACAGGACAAACTGAAATAAACTCTCATTTTTAGATCATAATGTCATCATGAAACATATCAATTCGGTCTATTTCTGAAGAAAACAAGCACAATGATAAAGTTTGAATGTTTGTCTCCTCCAAATCTCATGCTGACATTTGATCCCCAATGTTGGAGGTGGGGCGCACTGGGAGGTGTTTTCGTTACGGGGGCAGATCCCTCATGAATGGCTTGGTGCTGTCTTCATGGGATTAAGTTCTCACTCCTACTTCCTGTGAGATCTTATTGTTAAAAAGAATCTGATACCTTCCTCCCCTCTCTTGCTCTCTTCCTCCCTGATCATGTGACACACGGGTTCCCCTTTGCCTTCCACCACGATGGAGGCTTCCTGAGGCCCTCAACAGAAGCAGATGCTGGCGCCATGCTTCTCGTACAGCCTGCAGAATTGTGTGAGCCAAATAAACCTCTTTTCCTTATATATTACCCAGCCTCAGGTATTTGTTTATAGCAATAAAAACAGACTGAGACACATGATGAAGACCCTTTGATATCCTATAAATATTGATTTCTCTCCCTGAGAGAAGAGCATGAATCTAAGTGATGCCATTACTCTAATGTGAATTCCACAACTCTTCTCAAAGATGTGGCCCATATGTTCCTAATAATGGCTTTCTAAGAATCTGTTCTGAAGGGGTACCTTCTCTCTGATTTTCATTTGCATTTCCTGCTTAGCTTACACACTTCACCTTGCCTATCCACCTGTCCTGACCCCAATAACCTCCATCATCAGACATCTCATCTTACCTACCTACTTTCTACTTTTCCCAGTCCTTCCCGTGCTTCATAAACCATGATCATGAGCTAGAGACACAAGGTCATAGCTAAGGAGTTGGGATCAGAAAATCACCTTCTGTGATTTTCCATTATTGTCAATACATAACTTCAACAAAATCAAGAAAATCATGAAAGGACATCCTAAGGGGTCAGGTGAGGTTGCAGTGGGGTTAGTCGGTCAATAGTTTCTTTATGCCAATTAGGATTTCTGCAGAAAACAATGAAATACTGGTTTAAACAGTAAAAATATTTTAATTCCTTACAGAAGCCCATGGAACATACACTCCAGGTTTAATTCATCAGCTCAATAGCATCATCAATGACTTAGGTTCTTTCCACTTTCTGCTTGTCATCTGTGTTGGCTTTATTTTCAAGCTAGCTCCTCCCTGGTTGCAAGATAATTGCAGCAGGTTTAGTTATCATATTCGGACATGCTAACGCCCAGGGTAGTGATCCCTTCCTTGCATTTCTTTCTCATTTTAAGAACAAAGTGTTTAAAAAATTATACTTAAAATTATTGGCATCTCTGTCAATTGAAAGATGTCAATCTCTTTCATTTTTCCTAATCACTAATAACATCTACTAAAAACAAAATGTCTGTGTAAATAATTTATTTGAATAAAATTAAAGTTGTTGAGTGAGCTCGGCTTTTGAGGAGTGGGAAAGGAGGGGTGCATAGATTAGTGGAAGATGAGAAGCTAGTGGGGCTCAAGTCCAGCAGGAGCAGGAGTTTGGAGCCAGGACTTCCTAGCCTCTCAGGGTTTTTTTTTAACTTCCTTACCTGAAATGATTTGTGCTATATAACTTGTCCTGGCTAAACTTTCTTAATCTCAACTGTTTCATTTAATCAATAACAACTACTGCGCCACCTTCATAATATCAATTTTCAGCATTTCATTTACTGAATATCATTTCCTTTCCTTCCAGACTATTCTACTGTGTCAAATTCAATATTCCTTTGACTCAATAGGATCTCCAATCCAGTGACCCCATTATTTGTTTGTTTATTAGAACAAGAAAAACAAACTTTCCCAGAAACTCCCCAGTAGACTGCTCCTCATGTCTCATTGGCTAGAACTGAGTTGCGTGCCCATTCCTAAAACAAAACTGGCAAGAAAGATAGTTACCAAGATTGGTTCAGACCAAATCAGGATTTTTTCCTGAGGAGAGGATAAAGTGAGCTTCCTGGGAGGCAAATATTTACACATTCCAAAGATTCCAAAGAAAAAAAGAGAATAAATACTGGGTCGTTAACTAATAGTAAGTGCTACGGTATTACAGGTAAAATTTATCCTTTTAGCCCTAGCAACAAGTGACACCTTCTGAAGCCATTATTCATTTGTCAGGAATAGGGCAAGTATCAGGAAAAGAAACACCGAAATAAACTCTGTTTCCATTTATTGCATTCTAGCACTGGTTCTACCAAATATTTGTTGGATGACTTTAGGTAAAGCATCTAGCCTCTCTGTCTTGATTGCCACACCCACAATATGAGATAAATATTATTCTGCATACTTCCTGGGAGAGCTGGGAAGATAAAATCAGATCATTATACCACATAAAGCAAAGCAATAACACTTCCATATTTTAGCTTCCCACACTGCCTATCTGTCCTATTTTCATTTATTCATTTATACTTTTTAACAAACAGTTGCTAGTAGTTTGCTTAATGTAAGATATGGGATGAATATTTTCATGATGGCCCCTGCATCTAAGTTATCATTTAGCAGTACCTGCCTTATCTCTTGTACAGAATCAGATTAGACAGCATAGGAAGAATGAAAAGGTGAGGTGGGATAATAAGGAATGTTGTTTGTGGAAACATAATGGTTGCTTCAATTTGAGTGTAAACTGTCCTTTTTACTGAAGCAATTGCAACCAAGTGTGTTAGTTTACAGGTGCCTACATTGCTTTTTTGGCTTAGGTATTGTTTGGGTTTTAATACTGACTGGTATATAATACAGACAAATCAACTCAATCAAAGAAACCAACTCAATCAAAGAAAGATGGGTCTACATACAACAAAACTGAACAAAATCTGCAAGAAGAGTGATTCATACATGGGCTATTGAGGCAACATGAAATGGACATTAATCGACTAAGTAAAAAACAGATTTCTTGAAGAATTAATAAAGAACTTTTGTTTTGGAAGTTCGCTATTGTTTAAAATTAGCCAGATGTGGTGGCCTGCACCTACAGTCCCAGCTACTCAGGAGGCTGAGGTGGAAGGATCACTTGAGCCCAAGAGGCGGAGGTTGCAGTGAGCTGAGACTGTGTCGCTGCACTACAGACAGTCTCCTGCATGACAGAGCCAGACCCTGTCTCAAAACGTGGGGGGGAGGAAAGTTCTCTATTGTTTGAAATAATAACGAAACATTAAAGGCTCTAAAGTCAGCTAACCAATAGTCCTAAAAATAGAATGGCTCAAAAAGATTGTCCAATTTTGGAAAACTAACATTTCAAAAAGTTGTTTCATTTTTTATGAATCCTAAGATTTCCATATCCTAGAAAACTAACATCTCAGAAAAAAAAAAAAAAGATGGTAAAACACAATTGCCATCATCTATGCCTGTTCCGGAAAAATACAGAGAAGAAGAGAGTGTTTGGTTTTTTTAACCAGGATTTGGAAAGCCATTATTTATCTCTGTGATAGAATAACAATATGTTTTGGATGGAGGGTAATTCTAGGGGAAATTATATTTCTGAACAACAATGTTGGTTTGTGCAGGAAAATCACCAAAGAACATGACTAGAAAGTGTATAGCTACAGTTTCCCTCTTTTAAATGGGAATAGCAAAACATATAAAGAATATTGATAGGCCGGGTGCGGTGGCTCACGCCTGTAATCCCAGCACTTTGGGAGGCCGAGGCGGGCAGATCAAGAGGTCAGGAGATCGAGACCATCATGGCTAACACGGTGAAACCCCGTCTCTACTAAAAAATACAAAAAATTAGCCGGGCGTGGTGGTGGGCGCCTGTAGTCCCAGCTACTCGGGAGGCTGAGGCAGGAGAATGGCGTGAATCCGGGAGGTGGAGCTTGCAGTGAGCCGAGATCGCGCCACTGCACTCCAGCCTGGGTGACAGAGCGAGAGACTCTGCCTCAAAAAAAAAAAAAAAAAAAAAAAAGAGTATTGATAATTTAAACCTACTACAATTTTGCATCTAGTTTCTCAAGTAGTTCTGTGGATTTAGAACCAACATTTGCTGGGGGGAAAGAATTACCAGCATCAAAGTCCTAGGATGTGTCAGGGCACCAGAAGAGAAGTTTTGTCACTGTAAAATACCTCTCTTGGCAGAGCATGATGGAGACTGTAAACAGCAGGTTACTTCAATGGTTATGTGTGGTTCAGTGAAGATCTCTACATTAACTGAAGCACAACTCACTGCATCCCAGGCTCCCCTGGTTCATGTGTGATACACTGCACTTGGGGTGGAGGTGTGCTGACAGTTGTAAAGGGCCGAGCCTTTCTTTCCCGTGGCTCTGATGCACGGTTTCCAGATACCAGTCATGAAGGAAGTTCTTGAGATTATGGACTTTGTCCTAGTCACATAGGGCTGCTAGGACAAAGTGCCATAGACTTGGGGGTGGTGGCACATATTAAAAAAAGAAATGTATTTGTCACAGTCTGGAGGCTGGAAGTCCGAGGTTAGCATACCAGTGGGCAAGGTTCTGGTGAGGGCTCTCTCTGGCTTGCAGATGGCCGCCTTCTCACTGTGTCCTCGTGTCAGGGAGAGAGAGAGCTCTGGGGTCTCTGCTTCTTACCAGGGCCCTAATCCCATCATTAGGACCCCACCCTCATGGTCTCTTCTAACCCTGAATAACTCCCAAAGGCCCCATTTCCAAATACCATCACGTTGGGGGTTAGGGCTTCAGCACAGGAACTGGGCGGGGGACGTATGTTCAGTCTACCAGAGCCCCCCAGTCAGCCCCACTGTGCCCATTTAGGGGCAGATTGTAGGGCTCAGGTGGGACACAGAGGTGGAGGAAGCACAAGTTCTGCTTCCTAGGAATGGCTCAGCCAAGACAAGGACAGGGACAGTGGGATAGACAACAGCCAGTGGGGTAACCAGCAGGAGCCCCAAGGTGTCACTTTCACCCTTAGGTGAGGAAGTTGGCTGGGCACCCACACACGCCAGAGTATGGACCATGTTCCCTTCAAACACGGCTCACTTAACATTCCTAAACCCTGCAAAGGGGCAGTGCTACCTTATCTCTTGAGGATGGCCCTGAATGTAGAGGAGTCACGGGAGCTGCCCACATCACCCACCAGTGACTCTTCGCTCCCCACATTTTCCCCGAGGGCCTGATGTGCACTGAGCTGGGGAAGCCCTGCCAAGATAAACTCTCCTTCCCAAAGGCCACAGAAGACAGCAGGCCTCCGACACTGCCCACATCGAGCAGAAGGGACGGGGCAGAGGGGCATCTGTCAGGCTGACTGCTGTGTTCTGTGGGCAGATGGGGCCAGAGAGGACCCAAACATGGCTCCCTTTGTCACTTGGCCGAGGGGCCAGGCCACCGTGTACCAGACAGCTTTGCCCCACCAGCCTCTGCTGCTGGGCCAGCCCCCAGCGCCGTGACCACAGCTCTGCACGCAGGCAGTGCTGGGACCAGTGCCCTGGCAGTCACAGGGGTCCTGAGCCAATAAGCGCCCTGGGGGAGGAATCAGAACTCAGACCGTGGAGAAGAAGGTGTTGGCCAGGAGGGAACCAGGGTGGGTGCCGGGTCCTGTCCATGCTGGGATCTGAGATTCTAAGAGGTGGGTTAGGGGTAAGGGGGGCAGAAGTTGGCCCATGGGGTGAGGGCAGTTCAGCAGAGATTGGGAGGACAGGACAACCTGGGAAAGAGCAGAGCATCCTCCCCAGCCTCGGTCCCTCTCCTGATGCAGTCCTCATCTCACTCGTAGACTCTGGAAGTCTCCCTTTGGCGAACACCTAGCCCCCAACTCCCAGGTCACTTCCCAGACAGCCAATGCCACATCCCAGGCAGCCCCTGCTCTGCCCTTGGGGTCTGTGCCTGGCAGAAGGGCGGCTGACCCTCGGCCCCTCTTGGCCTGGGCCCCAGCTCCTCCGGGCCCTGGAACCAGCAGAAACACCCACCCTGCGCCTGATGGACTGGACATGTTTGTTCCCATTGGTGATGGTGTGTTGGGAGGGAACTGTTTTAGAAACCAATGTAAATCTGTGTCTACATCAATTCCACATGAGTTCAGTCATCATATGGGAAGGGAATCATAGCTGTGGGGGGCTCCATGCAGGACCTTGAGGGCCCCGAGGCCAGTCCCTGTGGCCACAGCAAGGAGCATCTGCTTTAGCTAGTTGGACAAGACTCTCTCCTGCCCAGAAACAGGCAGAAGGACTTCCCCTGCTCCCCACCCATCATCGTATCCCAAACACACCTGTGTGGATGGTCACCTCAACGTCTCCCCTCAGCCCAGTGCCCGCGCTCTTCCTGATGAGGGTTAAGCAGGAGCAGCCTCCTCTCCCCATGTCCATGTTGCAGGTGGCTGCCTTCTCCTCAGCTCCCACCGAGCAGAACAAGAGCCAGCCAGCTCTCTCCAATCCCAGGATTTTCCAGGGATGCTGATGACGATGGGGGGCCCCAAGAAGCCTCCCTAAAGCAGGCAGGGCCTTGTGAGTCGGTAGTGGGAGGGATCAGGGCTTCCTCAGCATCTGTCAGTCCCTGGAGCATCTGAAGGGGCTCCCTACATCAGGAGGAAAGAGTGGGGCCGGCCCCTGTGGGTTCCCAGAGCCTGGCATCTGCCAGTTCCTCTGCCCTCCCTCACAGACACCCTCCACGGAGCAGCACAGCACCGAGGACAGAGGCAGCAGCCCCAAGAGCATTTTCCAAGACAACTACATTTATTCACACTTACACACGAGGCCCCCAACGCACTGCTTCCCACCCCCACTCCCCAGCCCCTTCCCCCCAGACCCTCCCTTCCTGCCCTCCCCATTCAGCCACCCTCTCCCTCCCCTCCCTCCCCTACCCTCCAAAGCTAAGGCCCAGCAAGATCAGCACTGGGGGAGAAGAAGCTTTTGACCGCTTTGGGGCATCGGATGCCAGAGCCCCATCCTTGGGGATTGGCCCCAGAGAGCCTGCTCAGAAGCCCCTACTGGCTACAATGCTGCTTCTTCTCCTTCCTGGAGACCAAGGGGTCACCCTTTCTCTTTTGAGACTGTGAGGGGCCACCCAGCCCCCAAGTCAGGGATTGCTCCCCAGAGACCCTGAGCCCAGGCCCTGGGTAGGGTGTCTTTTCAGCAGGGGACAGGCTTCCAAAGAGAGGTCGCTTCTTGGCCTTGTTGGCAGGAGAAGGTGCTAGGTTGAGGCCTCTTCTCTCAGCAGATGGGGACTGATGAGTTCCCTGGGGTCCCCACTTTTCTGGGCTGAGAAGGCCCGAGGCAGGGACAGGGCTCTGGGGTAGCCACCAGGGCAGAAGCTTGTGCTGGGAACCCAAGAGGAAGGCCAGGCTGGGGAGTTCCTCCTCCTCACTTGACCCCTGAGCCAGCCCATGTGACTCCCTGACAGGAGACCCTCCAGGGAGATCCAAGGCATCCTTGGTACCCACGCCAGGGCAGGTGGGTCTGTGGTCCTGGGGAGGAGAGGTTGGCCAGGCAGCCCTCAGCCCAGGGGAATCCTGACATCCCAAAAGCACAACAGAGTCTTCGGACCTGGCCATGCCAGTGTGTGCTCTGCCTCGTCCCTGAGAGTCCCGGGCAGTCATCTGGGGTGGGCAGGTTTCCATGCCAACCCCTTGTTGGGGGTCAGGGACGTCTCTCTCTGCTCCTTGGCCAGCTGCAAACTTAGAAGAACTTGAGTCCAACCGGGCTGTGCCACGACTAGGGGCTGCCCTCGCATGCTGTTTCTCCTTCAAGGGTGGGAGGCGCTTCTCCACTAGCTGCGGGAGGAAAGGGGGCACTTACTGGCACTGCCCCAGGTGTGAGCAGGGCCCAGGGTGGTGGAGACCAGGGCACTTAGGCGGCAGGTAGGGAAGCCTGAGGCAGCTGGGCTTTATGTCAAAGAGAGAGGGTGTGGCTCTGCCGGGCCTCCCGTTGGGCCTCACCACAGCTTGCATGCTGACTCCCCTCCCTGGCTCCTGTCCATCCTACTCCCTCTGAACCTGCATCTTCCCACTCCAGAGTGGCTCCCCAAGAAGCCGAGCATCCCCAGCGGGGGGGATTAGACAATCAGGTGGGCCTTGTGTGCCAGGTCCCTCCTGCCCCTGGGGTACCTGGGCAAGGGTGAGTCCTTCCTCCTGCTCCAGGTCCTGGCTTAGGGCCAAGAAATCCATCTGTGGATCTGGGGAAAGCAATTCTTCCAGGAATTGGGGATGAATGACGGCCTCCACCTGGAAACAGAAGGAAGAAGGCGTGAGCTTCCTGGGCAGGGAGTAACCTGGAGCCAAGGACACCTGGAGGAGATGCAGAAAGCAGCGAGCGCCCCGTCCCCACCCTCCTGGGGCTGTCTCATATCATGGTGACCACCAGCTACAGACACAGACCACAGACCTGGTAGCTACACACACACAGACAGAGACACACAAACCACACACAGACACACAAACAGACCCACATATGACACAGGAAAAGACACAGACACAGGTAACGTACACACTCCACACTCACACCTACACAGACACACAAAGACACACAGTAACAAACCACAGACACAAACACACAGCAACACACAGACACACACAATCACATACACAGACACTCAAATCCATGGAAATACACACACTGCTGAGTAGCTAAGGAACAGAGCTTAATTCCAAGGACCTGGGAGTGCCAGCCCCTGGAATCCAGCAGACCCCAGCACTCCAGGCCAGCCCACCTTGGTGACGAAGTCTTTCTGGGAACACAGCTTGTCAATGTAGCTCAGGAGGCCCGGGTCTGGGGGCGTCCAGTCCTCTTCCTGTGGCTGCTTCACTTTGCCCTCTTCCCGTTGTTTCTCGGGCTCCCCCGTGGCCCCGAGGGAAGGCCCCAGCAGCTCCTCCATGATGTCCACATACTCCTGCACCACTTCTGGGGGGATCTCCTCAGGGACCTTGGTCTCTGCTGGTCTCTGGGGCCTGGGTGGTGGCAGGCGGGCCTTGGTCTCTGCTCGCCGGTGGGGCCGGGGTGGTGGCCGGCGGGCCTTGGTCACTGGCCTCTGGGGCCTGGGTGGTGGCAGGCAGGCAGTCGGGGCCTTGGGGCCGGCCTTGCTGGGAAGGTACACTGAGGCAGAGAGGGAGGAGGACGGGCGTGGTGAGGGCCGCTCCTCCTGCTCGCACCACACAGGGGAGGGCAGGGCTTGGGGATGTGAAGTGGGTCCCAGCTGGGTCAGGACCACCTGAACCGCAGCGCCCCCGGAGGAGGCAGGAGGGGCACATCTGAGACAGCATCGCTTGGGAGGAAGTTTGGAGCCACCAATATGCCGTGTACTCTCCCCGCTCATCCCTGCTTCCTGGGCAGAGCATATGTGGAGTTTTGGACAGGCGAGGGGAGAGAGTAGCTAGGAAACTTGACCAGGTCAATACCGAACATATGCTCCTGGAAACTGTCCTGTTGGAGGGAGCAAATCCCCCTCTCGAAGGGAAGCATGGGGTGTGGGGACAGTGGCCTCCCTTGGCCCTTTTGGCCTTTGCCATGGCTCCTGTGGGAATGTGGGAAGCCATACCTGGCTGCTTGACCACCTCAGGGGCCGGGGGTCCTCGAGGTTCAAGCCTCGGTGTGGCTGGAGGAGGCAGGCACTGGGGCCCCTTCATCCATTGCGATTTCTGAATCTGCATCTCCTCCTCAGCCTCAAACTCCAGGAACCTGGCGGTGAAGGAGGCCCAGGCTGTGCTGAGAGGGTCCAGGCCCCCTCCCCGCAGGACCAGGCAGCGGCCGAGGGCAGGGATAGGAGGGAGTGCCTCGGGTGGGCTGTCCAGGCCCTCACTGTGTCCCATCCCCCAGTCCCAGGAGAAAACTGCTCCCAGAGTTCCGGGCTCACCCTCCCTCACCCGGCCCCTGCAGAGCCCATGGCATCAACGGGGCTTCCTGACTCAACTCAGGGCCACGAGGTCCAGGAGGGTCTCGGGGGACCCCTCCTCCAGGTTTCAGCTGGCCAGGGGTGGGATTTATGGCAGAAGGCATCAGGGATGATGCCCAGATGCAGGAGTCCTGAGGCTAGGACTGTGGGCCCCTGAAAGATAACCCAGGGGCACGAGGCCTGGGAGACTCCTGGTCAGGAGGAAGCAAAAGCTGAGCTCAGAGGACAGGGCCCCTTTCCCCTGAGGCTGCTGTCTATCTGTCTGCCTTCATGGAGGGGACTGCCCAGGAGCAAAGGCAGTCAGGCCAGAGATGGGTCCCATGGTGTCCCAGGTGCAGATCTCCCCAACCCAACTCCCTGGCCAGGCTGGGATGGGAGAAAACCGACTTCTGGCCACTGCTGTGAGGAGCCTGCACCCTACTCTTGTCCATAGTCACTAGCGCCCCTTCTCCCCATCCCCACAGCTAGAGGTGACCCACTTTGGGCTGTGATGCTGGCTGCTCCTGCCATGACCTCCAGTGTCAAGGCAGGGATGGCCCCAGGCCAGGCAGGGGGTGCTTCCCAATAGGCCAGGACAGAGACCCCAGAACACTCTAGGTGGCAGGAGCAGCTTCCTGAGGGAGCCAGGGGCCCAGAGTATCCTGGGTTTCTCCACACCCTCCTCATACTCCACGTTGAGAAGCCACCACGGCCACCGGGCCTCTGTCATTCACTCTCACCCTGCCACGCGGGCCCTGCTCCCAGGACCCCAGACTCACTTTTCCGCCATCTCGTAGAAGATCATCCGGTCAAAGTTGCTCGTGTGCTGCCATTCCCGCATGGCCCGCCACAGTCCCTCCTCCAGGGTCATGGTGGGCTTCCGCCGGGCCAGCGATCGGAGAACTGGGCTGTAAACCAGTGCAGTCAGTCTCAGTCTATAAGCCCACCCTTCATCCCAAGCCCACCTGGTCCCAACACCTGGCCCCTGTCCTCCCCACACCTGTCCCGCCATCTGTCCCTGTCCTGTTCTCCCCCATGTGGGCTCCTCAGGCCCCAGAACACAACCCCAAGATCAAACATCAACACAAGCTACCAAGTGGCCTCTCCGACTGCCCCTCGAGTCCTCAGTGTTGAGAAGTGGACTCAGTACTATGGGTGGAACATGTGTGTCTCCAACATTCCTGTGCTGAAGCCCTCAGCACCAGTGTGTCAGTATTTGGAGGCAATCAGGGTTAAAGCAGGTCATGAGCGTGGGTCCCAGTCATGGAATCCAAGCCCTGATAAGGGCAGAAGGAGACGCCAGGGCTCTTGCTCTCAGCCACGAGGAGACATAGCCAGAGACAGCTCTCTCCAGCCAGGAGGAGGGCCCTGACCAGACACCCAATCTGCTGTCACCTTGATCTGGGACTTCTGGCCTCTGGAACTGGGAGACATGAATGTGTCTTGATAAAGCACCCAGTCTACGGCATTCGTTACGGCAGAGCCTGAGCTGACTGAGACAGCGTGCACACAGAATGACCTGGGGGTGAGGGTTAAAGTGCAGGTTCCAGGGCCCCAAGACTGAGCATTTAACCGGCTTCCTGGGGACTCTGGAGCAAGGCAGCCCCTGGGGACGTAGCCTCAGGGCCCTGGAGCATGAGGAGCAGGAGCACACGTCCAGAACCAAAGCAGAGCGGTGTCCACGCCACTGCAAGCAGCAGGTCCAGATCCCACATTCCCACAGGAGCCATGGCAAAGGCCTGTGAGCCTGGGGCAGCTCCACCCCAAGAATCAGGGTCCCCAGTGCACCGGGACTCCGCTCCAAGGAGGAATGCAACCAGTTCCAGGGTGCGGGAACAGCGAGATTTTGGGGGATGAAAATGGGGCCACCTTTCACCTACACCCCAGGCAGGGGACTTCCCTAGGGGAACGGCCAGTGTGTTGCACGGTGGATGTGCTCAAGCTCCCGTTTGCTCATCAGCGGGAAACACAGGGTCACAGAGGCACCGCAGGGTGGAGAGAGGCAGGGACTGGGAATGAAACCACAAACTCTCCCAGATGCTGACGTTGCTGCCTCACAGTCACCACAGTCCATGGCCCTGGGCTGCTGGACTCATGGTGCACTCAGAGCTATCACTGGAGCCCGTGGCTTTGGGGAGTGCTCTCCTAGATGGCCTAGTCTTGATAATGATAGTAATGGGGACAGTAATCGTAACTGCTGTCATGTAATGTGTCATAGCATGTGCCAGGCACTGTGCTATGCATGTCATATGTGAGCTCAAGTTATCTCTTCACCATCCTCTGAATGAAGCATCATTGTCCCTTTTTCTAGGAGGGATTGAGGGTGAAGATGCAAATACCTGCCCGGCATCGGCCCCAGTGCAGGGCCCGAGACCATCCCCCTATGCAGGCTCCACCACCGCTGTGCTAACTGGACCTCAGCGGAACTGCAGGCATGTGCCAGGTTCCTGCTGGGCCCTGCAGCTCCTCCCCCCGGCCCCATGTGAGGTGCTCCTGGCCATCAATACTGGGTTAAAGGGGAGGCACTGGGGTGTGTACTCAAAGACCTAAACCCAAACCGTAGCTCACGTCACACCAGGAACCCTCTCTGACCTGGGTCTTCTGTAAACATTGTTGTGAAAATTATTGAAAGTAAGGATTGGCCGGACTCACGGGACAGTGACGGGCAGTTGAGATGAGGCCCCTGACAGTCTGTCCTGAGCCGCAGCCAGATTAATATGGTTGAAAATGTACCTTCCCATAGTGCAGCCCATCACCCTCACAACCGCCCTGCAAGCTCCCCTGAACAGCGTGACCTCCCGTCCATCCAGCAGCCTCTTTACGTGTGAGCTGCAGGACCAGCTCCAATGCCCCGAGGACACTCACATGAGGAAGCACGAAAGCGCTTCGGTGTCAGGACTCTGGGGAAGGTGCCTCCGGGCCAGGGGCTTGTAGTGCTGCCAGAGTCGGAAGTTCTCATAGACACTCCTGGGGTTACAGGAGTCATCTGGCGGGGCCTTGGCCTGGGAGGAAGCCAGGCTGCTCTCTCCATGAGCCCCTTGTGGCCATGGCCCAGCATTCCCTTGGGACACAATGGGGGGCAGCTGGGCAGCCGGTGGTGGTGGTGGTGGAAGAGGAAGGCCCTGGGACCAGCCTCCCTCACAGGCCTGGGTGCCCCCAACCACCTGGGCAGCCATAACAGGCACCACAGGAGCAGCTGCCAGGAGTAGGGGAGGTGGACACACAACACCTCCGCAGAGGGCGCCTGGAGCCTGCCAGACGAGGGGGGCCTGAGTTAGGACCAAGGTCTGCGCCTGAGCGGCCTTCACAGGCCCCACCTCTGTCCTCATCTGGACAAAGACGTTGGAAGCCCCGGCCCCACTCGGGCCGCAGCCATCCTGTTCTGTCACCAGAGGTGTGCTGGGGAAGGTAGACAGCACCAGAGGGCCGCCTGGAGGAGCCCCTGCAGTCACAAGGAGCGGCCCGTGTGCTGGGCCGGGAGCGGGTGTGGTGAAGGGCAGAGCCGTGAACACAGACAGGGAGGTGCCAGGGTTCGCGGTCACGCCCGGTCCCAGCACTGGGTATGCTGTGGAGACAAAGGAAAGAGGTGAATGAGCTGGGGTCTCCAGGTCCACACTAGTCACTGGGGAATCAGAGGGGAGTCCCAACAGCTAAGGGCGTATGACAGGGAAACTGCAGCTTGCAAATGTCCCTGAGTGTGCATCGGATGCTCTGTTCCTCCACGGAGAGTCGCTCCACTAGAGAGCCTGGCCCCGGTCACCAAGACTCCCTGACCCCTGTCTCCCAAGAAGTAACAGCCAAGCCTTTGCTGCCCGAGCGTCTCCCTCGGGTGTCCCTGGCAGACCCTGTCAGCCTCACAGGCATCTCCCAAGCCATGGGTCAGGGATGAGTCTCTCAGCGGCCTGGTGGTCCTCAGCGTGCTCAGCAACAGGTGAGGGGCCTACCCCAGGGCAGTGCTCCGCACTCAGAAGGCCGACAGGAAGCCAGAAGCTTCCGAATATTATGGCCCCATCTCCTCTTCAATCTTCCTTTTCCTGACGCTCTTGTAAACCCCTTTCTTTCCCAGCTCAGACATACCAAAACAAAACCACTGGATGGAAATCTTTCCCAAGCCAGCGCCCTAGGAACCCTGAAGATAATCCATAACTCGTCATGCCCAGCATGCAAGTGATTGTCCTGGCACCACCCACAGCAAGTGCTAAATAGGGGTCAGATTCGGGCCACCCTTTCCGCAGTACTCGATGGTCCCGGCTGCCACTCAGGAAGCTCTGTTCCCAGGGAGCAGGTCTGAGAGGCAGTGGTGGAGTCCCCTGAGACAGTGTCACTGCATAGCCAGCAAAAGCCACACACGATTAGAACACAGCCAGCAAATGGCGAGCAGCAGAGCTAACAGGGGAGGTGTCTAGGGATTTTCACAGCTGCTGGTCATGATACAATAGGTAGTGGGACAAGGAGCCCATCCCTGGCCCTTCTCCTTTGAGCTCCTAATAACTGAACATAGTGACCAACCAAAAACCAGGGGTTCTTGGGCCATGGGCCGGGTGAGGCAAAGTTGTCTGGAACTCATCCCTGTTCAATAGGACCTCATGCAGTCTCTAGTCAAGGGGAATAAGGGATACAGCACATGCACCTCATCATTCAGGACACATATCCTAACTTGAATAATAATAATAAGAGAACCATCTTCCTATTCGTGCGCTACTCTCCTTCCTCTACTGAAAAGGAAACCAGCCTTTCCAGACCCTTCCACTGAGAACCAGCAAGAATCCACACCTGCCCCCCGTTCATGAGGTAGTATAAATGGAATAGGAGCAAATTCTTCATCTCCACAGTAACACAAAGTGCAGAGGACAGGCCATGAGCTAGCAGACAAGAGGAAGTGGGTCTGAAGACCTGAGCTTCCACAAAAGGGCAAACAATTCAGAACAACTCAGGAAACCCAGGCCCTGTGTTGCCTGAACTTCCTCATCTGCCCCCACCCCTGTTAAATCAAAGCCAACAGCTACCTGAACTGACAGAGAAGCCATCTCTAGGGAGAGAGCTGAGGGGCTCTGGGCTGTGGCAGTTACAGCAGCCCCCAGCCTCGCCCACCCAGGGGCTGTCACTACATGCTCTGTCACAGCCAACCCACCCAACAGTTTTCTGGCTGAGACCACTTCTCCCCACTCCTCCCTAAGATCTAGAAAACTCCAGTCCAAATCTCTCTGAACACTATGGAAGGGCACCTTCCAGGTGCCTGAAGATATGGCACAGGGTTCAGGCTTGCCTATCATCCTCCCGGGGCCACCAGCACAACATGATCCCACCACTCCCTACAAACACACAATGACGTGACCTGTCTCCTTCTAGAAAGGATCAATCCATCCACTCTGTCCTTTCTCCTACACGGTGTATTCCCCCAGCCATCTTGTTCCACCTCTAAGAGGCCGTCCTCCCTAAACACAGACTCAGGGTGCCATGGCCATCCCCAGGTGTGATGTCCTTGGGGACATCCAGTCTTCCCTCCCTCCTCAACATCAGCCCTATCAACTGTCCCCGGGGCAGTGTCAAATTTGAATTCCTAAGGAGTTGAGGCATGGCAGACTCAGATAATGCCCTCATCCCTACAGGCTTACCTCCATTCGAAGCCATCCCCTCAGGCTGGGCACTGACCACCGCCGTCTGGCAGTTTCCGCAATAAGAAAAGCCAAGGGTAAGACCCAGAGAGTGACCTGGCTCACCAGATGCTCCTGAGTCCAACTGAAACAGGGAAAATTTGAAAGTAAACAGGTTCCTGGAACATAGGACCCCAGACATTCTGCAGAGGGGGAGGGGCAGTGGGCAGCTGTTAGGGGTGGGGGACGTTCTGTGAAGGGCTTCGGCCATTAGGCAAGAACCTGAGTTTCCCTTCCAACTGGAAGGCAGCAGCAGAGATGGCGTGTGCCTCTTTAGGCAACTTTTAAATTGTCCTTCTGACTCACAGCAAAAGCTTCTACCTGATGGCCCCTTTACTTCCATTCTTTATCAGCAGACCTACTTTTGTGCCAATCAACCCATGCTCCTTCCCACTTTGGCTCTTTCCCAGTCTTGACGAATTTCAACAGCGGCCTCACTTCGTGAACAAAGTTCAAAACACATTTTCAGTCTGAGAAACACAGGGGTTCTTAGGAAGGCAAGGGGACTGGGTGTTTGAAATCAGGATGGTCTCAGCCGATCCAGACTATTAGGTGGCTGTGTGCTTATCATTGTTTAGGAAGCAATCCTTGTACCCCCAGGTCATGCATGTTGCTGGAATCTCTGTCCACACCAGCAGGCCAGCCTTACGTCCCAGCCCCTTTGCTGGAAAGCCTCAATCCAGGAAAGAGTGGCTATGTGACCTACAGCACCGAGACCAGAAATCCTTTCATTTTGTTTCCCAGCATATTGTGCTGGTGTTAAATGTTTATGTTTTATCTTTTGAATGATTTTAATTTAACCAAGCAATACTTTTCATGGCTCCAAATTCAAACTGTGCACAGTGGAATAGGCAATGACCAGCCTTCCTCCCATCTCTTTTCCCTGGCCACATTTTCTTTCCTGGAGGAAACAGGTGTTATCTGATTGTTTCTCATCTTCACTGAAACACACCCTGGCTGGCCTCTCTCAGCTCACTGTTGGCCTCATCTTCACCATACGTTCTTGCTGTTTGGAATCCAGTGTCATCGCATGTGGTTCTCTGCATGGGAATTATTGTAGCCTGTCTTTAAAAAAAGCTTCATTCTCATTTCCACACTGAGAATCACTGTCCGTTTATTAGTGTCAAAATGATAGGAAAGAGCACTCATGTTCTGTGTTGTGAACAAGGGGAGTATTAGAAGAAACTGGTCAAAGGAGATGAGGAGTGAGAACTCAGAGCACAGCAACAAAATCTTCTGAGACACACAAGTCACTCCCTGCTGGGCAGGGTAATTTTGCACGATGGGAGGGTGTTGGGGAAGGGAAGAGGCCTTCAGCCAGACCGGTGCACACTGCAAACATTCACTGAAACACACCCTGTCGGCACTTACGAAGCATTTGCCCCTTTTGAAGACATTTGGACTCAAGAAGGCAGAGTTGCAGGAAAATGTAACAGCGGCCACACTGCAGGGGCAGGGGCAGGGGCAAGTGGTGGATTGCAAGTCTCAAGCCCAGGGTTCTCCCCCACTGCCCCAGTTGTGTGAGAAGGTCATTTCCTAACTCCTGTCCAATATCCCCATGAGTTCTCGGTTTTGTCCCAACTCTGAACCTGAATGGTCCAGCAAGCATTTCTGTGAAATGTCTCCACAGTGGCCACTGGGAGGGGAGTGACCTCCATGCAGTGACTGTCTGGGTGCTCCCAGGCCTTTTGTCCTCTGAGACAGAACTGCCTTCTTACATGCAGCCCTCTTCCACTGTGCAACTCTACCTCCATCTTAGCTGAGAAGATCAACGGAGAGCAATTCAAGCAAAATCATGGTAAACTTACCAAAACAAAACAAACCGTAAACACTTTGGAGATCTTTCTGAGGACTTGATCTTTTACCATGGGGCAAACTTAAATGATTTTCAATCAATAACTTCATCTAAGAGGGATGTTGAAGCAAAATATCATACTCAGATACTGAAGAAGCGCAGAATTTTTGGTTGCTTCCTCCCTTGTCAAGTCAGTCAGCTGATGCTTTCTCAAGATTCTCACACGTGGCTTTGATACAGGATTTGAATGAGTCTTTTTCTGAGCCAGTGATACAAAAAATATATTGTGGAAGTGTCTTGTCTTAATTCTGCAATCGCTTCTGTACATGTTTGAAGTCCTAGACCCCAGGAGGAGAGACAGTCAAATTAGCCAAAGGTAATTTGTGAAGACTGGCCATGGGAGGTGGTGGCTAAAAGTCCTCCGGCCCCTGCTGTCTGAGCATCCCCACAGAAAGTCCTGGGCCGCACTGACAGCTGAGAAAGAACATCTCAGGGCTTGGATCCCCTGTTCAGAGGACACATGCTCCTCCACCCAGTAGAGGAATGGCGGCTCCATGCTGTGTCCTGCAGAGCTCTCAGACTCTGCACTTGAGGCCCTGGGACTGCATCAACGTGAAGGCTCTTCAGTGTTATCACGTGGAGACAGATGATAGGAATCCTGCAAATGAGCAGAAAGGATGTGACGATTAAAGTTTCTTCTGAAGGTATTACAAACTGAAGTCAGTGAGTTGCTTCTCTACTAGTTTTTTATTGCCAACTGGAATTCTGCACTGTGTTGCAGAGTCAGGGATGGGGAGTGTGGAATTGTTCCCTTACTATCTGCTGCTTTATCGACTGAAATTGATCAAGGCTACAACAAAAACATTTCTAGAAATCATTTGAATGCGGTAGGAAAAACTCTGGGAATGGAGTCAGAAGAAAGTATATTTTGGAGTGTGTTTTCAGATCTAAAAATCTTTGCCAGAAATACTCTTTAATGGAACCTCCAGACTGAGTAGGAAAACAGGGCATACTATTTTTTGAAAGGCATGAGCAGGAATGAAATCAATGCCATCCAAAGGGAATGCAAGACATGCAATTTGAGGATACTTTGCTTTAGGATAAACCCTCCAAAGGTAAACCTTTCAGCAAGGGTGTTACCTAAGTGCATGGACTGCAGGTTTGTATTACCGAAAATTAGGAGTGATCGTTGCGGACGCGCTGGTTTCTCAGAGGCACGGTCATGGAGGTTCCAATGAGGGGGCGTTGTCTGGCCCCAGGAAGCACCCAGGTGCCGCGTCCCTCCATTTCCACATCTCCAGCGGGGCCCTCCTAGGGCGGGCTCCTGGCCTGCCCCGTGTGCCGCCGCAGGAGCCTTGAGGCGGGCGAGGTTCCAGCGCGAGGCCGGCCGCCCTCAACCGCTCCCAGCGCCGGTTGCGGCGGTTGATGGCAGGGAGACGCGCAGCACGAGAGCAAAGGGCGGTGACCCACCGGCCTTCGCTCTCATGGCGTCCTTCTTGGTGTTACCTAAAAATAAAGCCAAGGGTGATCAGAAGGTAATCTCACCTCCTGGTCATGCTCCCACTGGTCACCAGTGTCCACGGGGCGACCCCACATTGTGACCAGAGCAGGCCTGTGGCTGTGCTCAAGGCGGGAGCGTTCATAGCTTTCCTAGTGGGGGCCCTGCGGGACGCCCAGGCCGCGCTCCTTTCCCTTGCTCACCTGGCCCTGAAGTGAGGGGGGAGGTGTAACAATGCAGTGGGAACCTCAAAGTGTGTCTCGGCCGTGCCTTTCACATTCCAAACAATGCAAAAGCTTGAAGAAAACCTCAGCAGTTGAAACCGTGATGCAGTTCAGCAAAGAAGTAGCTCCTGTCCCCGTAAAACAGTGAAGTTCTCACGGACGACCTCATTGAGTAAGTTGTGAAGCTTGTTGACTTGATCAGAATGATCAGCCAGCATGCATGTTCTAATACGCTGATTTGTCACTGATAGGAGCAGCTGCAAAGTGGAAGAACAGTCCTTTAGTCATAGTTTGTTCGCTTGGTAGCACAAGTTGGTTGTGGATGCAAGAGTGTGGCCAAAGTCAAGAAAAGCTTCCATGACAATCGCTTACTTATGTGGGATTTACATATAAAAAGTAGTGGTATATTATTTGTAAATTGTAGGCTACACATGTATCTAAAATTTACTGCACACACGTGTGTTATCTTGGGTGGTTGGGTTAGTGTGTACTTGAGAATGTCAGGAAGATTTATTTTGGATTTTGGAGGGTGTGAGATTTGTGCGGGTGGTTTTGTGTATGTGAAAATATGTTTATATGAATTCTTAGTTTGGAATTTGATATGTATTTAATTGGTGAGAATCTAATATGTATTCACATGTGTGGGTTGGTGGTGTCTGTGTGGAGACTGCAGATTAAAGAATGTCATAACTGGGCCGGGCACGGTGGCTCACACCTATAATCCCAGCACTTTGAGAGGCCGAGGCAGATGGATCACCTGAGGTCAGGAGTTTGAGACCAGCCTGACCAACATGGTGAAACCCCGTCTCTACTAAAAATACAAAAATTAGCTGGGTGTGGTGGTGCATGCCTGTAGTCCCAGCTACTCGGGAGGCTGAGGCAGAAGAATCACTTGAACCCAAGAGGCGGAGTTTGCAATGAGCCCAGATCGTGCCACTGCACTCCAGCCTGGGCAACAGAGCGAGACTCCATTCCCCGCCCCCTAAAAAAGAAGGTCATAACTGTTTTTGTGAGAGTGTGTAGGAGTGAGAGTTTATATTTGGAGAATATGAGATGTAAGATATGTATACCAGAAGAATTGGGGTTATATATTTGTGATTTGGGTTGTGAAGATGTATTTTCCATGTGTTTTCTCAGATGAATGTTGGCGATTTGTATTTGTCTAATGTTTGGCAGATTTGGAAGAATTATCTTGTGCACATGGGCAATAACAGAGAAAGTGCTTGTGTCTATTTTGTGGATGTACGCTCTGTTTGGTTTACGTATTTGGGAAATGTAGGAAGACCATTTGTATACTCAGGGCATGTTGCATGGTGATGCGTGCTTCTTTTCATTATTTTCAGGGGGTGTGTATGGCTATTTCAATGTGTGAGGGCAGATCCATGTCTACTGGGGGACTGGTAGGATGAACGTGTGCAGTTATGAGGTGGAGTTTATATGATTCTGTGTCTTGGAAGATGGAGGAGTTATTTCTGTGTGAGCATTTGGAAGTGTGATTACATATGTGCAGGTATTGTGGAACTGTATGTGTATTTGGGGATATAAGGTGGCATGTTTGCATATTTGTGGCGTGTTAGTTAATCGCGGGTATATTTAGGGCATGTAGACAAATACATGAGTATTGAGTCTGTGGGTGTGTTCAAGGGCGTGGCAGTTTAGATGAAGGTTTTGTGGAGCTATGTGCTTGTGTTTTTCAGTAAGTGGTTATTAGGGTTATATATTCTGGGAATTTAGTATGTGTGTGTCTGATAGAGAGATGAGGTTCTCTTTTTATACAGGAGAGTGGGAGAGTTGAATTTATATGTATTAGAGGTATGTGATATGGTTATTGGTTAGTACTTGGCAATGTGGGAGCTGGTTCATACTAGATTGGGATAATTTGGGATTGGGAACTGTTTTTATGGGTATTTATAAATGATATGCTGGAGATATTTCTGTGCATCTTGGGTGTGTATACTGGTTTGTGTGTATATTTATCAGCAGATAGATGAATTATCTAAGTCTGTTTATAGAATACGGGATTGTTAGTATTTAAAGTGTATTTCTTTGGAGAATGCTAGGATGTTCGTACATGTGTTTGGGCATGTTTAGGGGATGAGGTGAGGAGGTTGTATTCCGGAGATGTAGCATATTGATTGGATAGTGTTTCGGGGGATTTATACACTCAGGGATTGGGGATATTTGTGTGAGTTTGTATGTGCCCATGGGTATATGAAAGTTGTGTGCGTATATTAGAGTATTATTGGTGTTTTTGTGGTTTTTTTTTTTTTGTATTGTATGGGTTTTATCTGGGAGGGTGAGGTGTGTATTCATGGGTAGTTTGTGAGTGTGTATATGAGGGGTTTGGGGTATATTAAGACTTAGTGGTCCTCTGTGTCTGTTGTGAAATGTAATACTCGCAGAATTTGGTGTTGCCACTTGTATGTGTGTTCTCAGAGTTCGTGAGGTGGACTTATATGTATTTGATAAAAATAGTTTGTGGTTCTGTGTGTATTTGAGTTTATGTGGCTTCTGTGTTTTGTATTCTGGGAGATGTGGGAGGTTCAGTGCATGTATTTGGAAACAGAGAGGCTGTGTAGGTTGTGTTTGGATTCAAGAATCATGGATTCCTGTATTTTAGAGCTGTGGGATTGTATGTGATTCTTTTTCTGGGTGATGCATGACACAAGTGTTGTATACCTTGTGATTTTTTTTTTTTTGAGCCTATGCCTATAGGATTTTCATTATGTACTGTTAACAAATCTACTGAAAAGGATTTTCTTAAAAAAATAACAAAAGAAAAAAATAGAAATTTGATTCCACTGAGCTGTTTGCAAATCAAGGAGTCCCAGCCTTCAGTGCAAAACAAAGATACACTCTGAAAGAACAAAGAGAGGTATTATCTTTTACAGAGAAATTCGTTCTCAGATTCCCGATCTGGTTCACTCTGCAAATGAGGGATACAAGCTTGTTTATTTCTGATTGGCTGATGCAAGTCACAGTCTATTTCTTAAGTCCATATGATGAAATGGTAACCCTTGATTCAGGTGACATAAACAGGAACAGACAGCTGTGAAAGTCCCAAAGTAACACAAGTACGTGGTTTTTGCAGGAAACAGGGTAAATGTGTGAGACTTGCAGTCAGCAAATGGCTGCTTGGCTCCATTTTGAGTTTAGGCCCAGTTAGCCACTCATGATCAGCCCTTTCAGGGTTCACACTATATATGGGTATATATGGGTACTGTGTTCATTGTACGTGTTTGTATTTGGGCACGTATATATGTACATATATGGTTTTAGCAGTGAGGTGAGCATTTGGGGCAGGTAGAGTTTTGTCTGCAAATTTAAGTAATAATTGGTGCAGGCCATCTGTGTATTTAGGGTACAGGTAGCAGTTGTGTTGCTGGTGGGCTGGTTCAGGTTCTTGACTTTGCTGCACAAAAGAAGTCTTACTTTGAGAGTGAGTCCAACGTAAAAGTAAGCAAGAGAGGTTACTGCAAAGTGAATGTACACTCTGACAGCCGATCAGAGTGGGCTGCTCAAAGGTGAGACAGCATTGACTGACACTGGGGAAACCTCCTTTATGGGAGCCTTACATGACTATTCATGAAGGGGTGGGAAGGGGTGTCACTGTTAAGCACTCTCTGGACTGTTCTCTGGACGTGCATGCGCTATTGCTGCACATGCTAGTGCCTATATCAGGTGAATCATTAACATCTTAAATCTCTACCCAAGGGTGTGTTTTTCACTGTTATAGTGAGCACTGGTCAACCCAGGGACACTAATCATGGGTTTTCGCACTTGTGCGAATTTGGGGATTTCCCCTTCTTCTTTTCCACCTCCTTACTGCAGGACCTCCTTGTGCACTGTCGGATGGTTTGTTCTCTTCATCTGTTTAGCAAGGTTGTTCTCCTTTAATGGAGGCTATGGCCACCCTATCCTATCTCAGTTGTGTGTGTCTGTTCAGGATATATGAGGAGGTTGTGTTCTGGAGGTACATCGTTTGGTTTTGTTTTTATATTTGGGGTGAGAGTTGTGGGTCCTACTCAGGGTGCAGGTAGATTGTGTACACATATTCCTATGAAAGGATGTGGCTGTGCTGGAGCTGGCTTGTACTGGCTTGGGGTAGCCATTGGGCACAGCACATCTCTTCTCATCTCTGTGTTCAGTGGCGTTAGGTTGGTAGTTTAAAATTAGTCATGCTGAGATACTTACACCACTTAAGCATCACAATTCTAGGCTTTCCTATTTCCCCCTGGAGAGCATTTTATTAAGCAGTTAGCAACACACCACTGGGGTGGGGGGCGGTGTGTGTGTTCAGGATCTGTAAGCAAATGTTTGTATGAAGCAAGAATATTGAGGCTTTAATAGGTGTGTATTCTGGGGATTCTATGTGTATTGTAGTGATGCAGAATGACCAGGGAGCATGGTTGAGAAAGACCCTCCCTGGTCATTCTGCATCACTGTGTTACTCCTAAATAGGTGGTTCATTCTTAGGGCCAAAGAATCCATATAAATGGTAGTTTCTTGCTTTTCCTCCTACAGATGGATGCAGGGGTACCTGCACCTTAGGCAGGTGGTTGCTCCTTCAGTATCTGTGTGTTCCTAGCATCTGGGTCCTCAGATGGGTGGGCCTGGTAGACAGAACACTGTGCAGAGCAGAACTTTTCTAGATATTGTCCGTGTGATCAGCACAGTCAGAAAGATGTGGGGTTTCCAGGACAGGAGGTCACATGTGCCATGTCTTCTCTCAGTCCTGATGTCCCTGCTGATTCCTCTGGGGCATGGCGAGTGACGAGGACACCCTCTAACATACGTTCCACGAGATGAAAGCCTGCAGAACCTGTGCCTGCACTACCATCTGCCTCCTGGGTGGGGATACTGTTGGGTGTCAGGCTGAGAGCTAGGCCACCAGTTCTCAACCAACCTGTCCCCATGGGAACCTGAGGCTTCGGGGCTAAGGCAGGACCTCCAGCAGGTACCCAGTGTTGAGAATATGTGTTGGTTTCTGTGTTAGGAGTTTTATCTCAGTGGAGTCTTGGTAAAAAGAGGGAATCAAAGGCACGTGACATTTTCTTCTTTCTCTGGTGAAGTGAGGAATGAATGTTGACCATTTCTTTCTGAAGTTCCGTACAGAAAATGTATACTCAGCCTGAGGAACCAAGGTGATTCCTTAGCTGCTCTTGGAGAAGGTGTCATCTAGTCTTCACAAGGAGTCTTCAGGCACAAGGGCCTGAATCTGACTTCTTGTGGAAAGCATTGGGCAGAGCTTCACAGTCCCACCTAGAGCTGGGCTGTAATTCTAGGGACAAAGTGGAGGAGCAACAAGGAAGTGGTGGGGAGCACACCTTTAGAACCTGGGCCTGGGGAGGGCAGGCCAAGGAAGCCTGAGTTTACACGGGCTCAGGTCCTGGGGCAGAAGCCAGACACAGAGCCTGGGCAGCCAGATTCGCTCCGGCCTGGGTTGTGGGTGGGGATGAGCCTCCTCTTGTGCTCCTGTCTGGGGCACCCCTGAGCTGCAGGTGAAGGTCTTAGTTGCACCTTGGCAGGGATGTACAGCCAGGCCTGGTGCTAAGGAGTGAGGAGGGTAGAGTCAAGGAGAGGAGGCACCGATCTGTGTTCCTTCAGCAATCTGGAGCATGATGTTAGATCCTGTTAGGGCGACCTCCCACTCGCATCTCCTGGATCTTCTGTCACTGGGAGGCTCAGGACCCCAAGAGAGAATGGATTCGGTTTCCCCTGATGTATTCATCTGGTTCTGGGTCCCCATTCTCTCAGCATGTTGGGTGCTGGCCCTGCAGGTGTGGGCGAAGCCTGGCAGGGGTGGGGGTCAGTGAAGTGACACGGGCAGAGCTGGGCAGGCTCTGTCCTTAGGGGTGCTGGGAGCTGGGTTCTGGAGAGACAGGGAGGCCCCCCTGAGAAAATGTGGCTCTGATGTTTCTGAGAACCCTGTCGATGGGTTCTTTCCAAAGGCTCAGGATGCCCCTGGAGTGGCAAGCGCATCTCAGCTTCAGCTTCATGTTTCTTTTTTTTCCTTTTCTTTCTTTCTTTTTTTTTTTGAGACAGAGTCTCCCTCTGTTGCCCAGGCTGGAGTGCAGTGGCACGATCTCGGCTCACTGCAAACTCCGCCTCCCGGGTTCTAAGCCATTCTCCTGCGTCAGCCTCCAGAGTAGCTGGGATTACAGGCATGCACCACCAAGCCCAGCTAATTTTGTATTTTTAGTAAAGATGGGGTTTTGCCATGTTGGCCAGGCTGGTCTCGAACTCCTAACCTCAGGTGATCCACCTGCCTCGGCCTCCCAAAGTGCTGGGATTACAGGTGTGAGCCATTACGTCTGGCCAGCTTGTTTCTGATTGGGTGACTCAACCTTCCATTAGTTTCTCTATTGCACATGGGGCCACAAGCCCAGCAGAGGGAGCCACGTGATGGAGGTGTCCACCTGCTGACCCCACAGCCACCACCTCCTCCCTCAGACTCACCCGAGGATTTGTGGGCCTTGCTCCTTACCGGGAGTCGCCTTCTGGCCTTTTCTTCCTCGTGGTGAATCCTCTTGCCAATAAAATGTGCCAACATCACTTCCTTTAATGTTCTGATAGCCACTTCCCTGTGGTACAAATGGATTCCTGGTAGTTCTTGCTGCCCCCTCATGTCCTGCCCTAACATAATGAGGGTATGTTGCACTAGTTGTATTGTGTTTTGTTGGCGGAATGGAGCTCTGTCTGCTTTTATAATATATGTCTTAAAAAAATGCACTGTAATGTATACCAGGTAGATCTTCTTGGATTTCTTTGTTTTGAAATGGGTAGTCATGGATCCTGAGTTTTAGGGGAGAAGTATATGTGTCTCTTGGTCTTGAATCAGCACAGAAAATTTCCCATGCAGGTTGCATGAATGGCAATTGCTAGAATCGCTGAGGTCGGCCTGAGCCATTTGTTCTGGGCTCAATATTTTTGAGGAGTGTATGTCATGAAATGTATCCTGCACCACCCACTTCTCTCTATGAACAGAAGATATCCTCAGCTGTGTGCTGAGTGGCCCCTCTGTCCAGCCCCTTAGAAGCCTCTGACTGTTCTGTTTCCCAGGAGCTGATAGGAAAAAGGATATGTCCCCATCTCAGTCCTCACTGGGCCCTGGTGCCCTATAGTGACACAGCAGTGGGTCTGAGAACACTCAGAAGGAAACAGTGAGGCCACTGAGGAACTGCCCCTTCAAAGGAGGCTGTTCTGATGCCCACTGCAGGAGCCTGGGGTCAAAGGAAGGAGACTCAGCGGGCAAGACCAGGAAAGGCAGAATGGGCTGACCAGGGAAGGCAGAATGGGCCAGCCAGGCAGACACTAGGAACAGAGCAGGGAGAGCTGGGGGTCGGGAATGGAGTGGGAGGCAGGCTTTGACTGCACAAAGAGGTGGAGGGGGCATGTCAGCGCATATGAAGCCCCTCTACACACAAGAGTCCCCAGCCTCTCCTTCCTTGCCCAGACCCATTTCCTGGGGCTGTAAGTAGGGAACACTGGGGGAATGTCAGCTTGGGGCTCAGTGGTCTATGTCCTTCTTGCAGATCAAGACTTTATTCAACCATCCTTTGAGTAATAAGTATGTCCATGGTGTCTGCAGGTTAGAATTGGGATATTTAAGGAGACCAGGGCCTTCTCTTGGGAGTCACCCCAGGTTCCTAATGAGAGGTGGAGGCAAATGTAGCTGGAGGTATCCCAGGAGGGACAAGCCCAGGCCCAGCATGGGAAGCAGGTGGTGAGAGATGGGGTGTTCTACCAGCAAGGACACAGCTGCTGTGCTGACAGTGGGCACTGGAAAGGGCTGTGGTTGGGTGATCCTCCCCCATGAGGACCCCTTATTTTAGGGGGAGCTTCATTGCCAGAAGATGTAACTGAAATGTCACTTCCTGTATGAAATGTCTTCTCTGCACTCAGCACTCCCCCAGTGGCAGGGAAGTTTCTCAAGGGGCAGCCATGGTCAGGTCAAGGGTACAGGCTCTGGAGCCAGACTGCTGGCTCAAATCCCAGAAGCCCCAGTGTATACCTGACCTTTGTGACCTTGGGCAAGTATTTTAACCTCTCTGAGCCTCAGCTTACTTATCTGTAAAATGAGGATAATAGTGCTAACTCCACAGGGTTATAAAGATTGGCATTCATATGTGTAAAGTGCTTGGAGCAGTGAAGGCTGTACTGTAGGTGCATATGGCATAACTGTTAGCTAATGTGATTACTAGTCCATACGGAACATAACTGCCCATTTCCCTAGTATAGGCCCCCTCCCATCCACACTCAGAGCCCCCTCTTCTGATGGCCCCAGGGGAGCATGGGCTCCCTGCTCTTGCCCCTAAATCCCCAACTTCAACCTCTGTCTCGTAGCAAAATTAATGCTGGAAACCTCTGCTCCTACAGGATTTAAACCTCAGACACAGGGAGCTGACCTATTCACCTTAGAATCCTCTGGGGCACCCATTACAGTGTCTGTACCAAGGAGGCAACAAAGAACGGCGGAACAGACTGGAGCAGAAGGACCACCCAGCAGAGCCAAGCCAAATCACTGACCCTCAGAGGCCTGATGTGAATGCTTATGGCTTCAGTCCATTGGATTCTGCAGTAATCTGCCGATCTACAGTATTACCACAGTAAATAACCGATAGACCTGAAAACGAATGCATGCCTTGT
This sequence comes from Homo sapiens, assembly GCF_000001405.40. NCBI lineage: Eukaryota > Metazoa > Chordata > Mammalia > Primates > Hominidae > Homo > Homo sapiens. The sequence goes on along the minus strand of NC_000010.11, from coordinate 79,691,786 downwards.
GCCAAAATTGCAGGAAACCTCACCAGGAGAAACAATTTTATATGAGGGAATGTACTCTCTCCTTTGCATTTTCCCTCAAATCTATATTTTTAGCCCCTCACTTGTCTCTACAGAGCCTCAGTTGCTTAATCTAATTGCTGACTGAACATCTCCAGGAAACTGTGTGTACGTGTTTGTATTCATAGTATATTTATTTATTATCTGTTTACTTCCATGGGATATAGTCTCCATAAGAGAGTAGTCATCATTGTATTTGTTGATGCTTAATAAATAATCATTGAATGGGCCGGGTGTGGTGGCTCATGCCTGTAATCCCAGCACTTTTGGAGGCCGAGGTGGGCAGATCACAAGGTCAGGAGATTGAGACCATCCTGGCTAACATGGTGAAACCCTGTCTCTACTAAAAATACAAAAAATTAGCTCGGTGTGGTGGTGGGTGCCTGTAGTCCCAGCTACTCAGGAGGCTGAGGCAGGGGAATGGCTTGAACCCAGGAGGCGGAGCTTGCAGTGAGCCGAGATTGCGCCACTGTGCTCCAGCCTGGGTGACAGAGCGAGACTCTGTCTCAAAAAAAATAAAAAAATAAAAAACAATAAAATAATCATTGAAAGAAGGAATCAAAGAATGTGGTCCCGGGTTGGGTGCCCTTAGTTCAGTCCCTGAGAATTTATGAGTATAATGTTTTGCTTTTTAAAAAGTGAAAAAAGGGAGCATAGTTTCATTGAAGGAGAAGTTAAACTATGACTCAGGCCCCCAAACAGTCTCACCTGACCCCATATGCTGCTGTTGGACTAAAATGTCTCAATAGAACTGTCCTTAGTCAGCCGCTTTACACCTGCTTGGATTAGCCACTGGATATGAAGCTTCCCCAGAAAGTGGAGAGAACTCAGCAAGGGTGCTCTCCATAGCTGAAGCAACCCTGGGAGGGCCTGAGAGCCAAGTCTATCTTCCAACAGTATTCCCAGCAAATGGTGAAACAAGTCATTCATCAAGGAGGGATCTAGGTGGCTGATGCCTGCATCAACCACAGTCTGCCTCTGTTCAGCTTGAATCCATTTCTTCATTTGTAGTCTGAGGGTGTAAGACAAATGCATGTGTCTGTGTGTTCAGGATTGTAGGAGGTGGAGGTCTGTATGTTTAGGGTAGTGTGTCTTTGTGCATACAAAGTTGGAGTTTGTATGTATGAATTTAGGGAGTTTGAGGGGCTGTATATGTATTAGGGAGGAAAGCCACCACATATGTTTGTGGTAGAGTTGGAGTTTTGTGTATAATGTGAGGATTCTTTTGGATTATATGTGTTCTGGACTGTGGGTAGTTTATGTGGATATTCAGAGTATGTGTAGGGAGCATGTATATGTATTTGAAGGAGGGTAAGGTTATGTGAAGTATGTGTTGAATTCTGGTGGGATGAGGCATGTGTGAATTCATAGCTTCTGCAGGTTTTATGCAGCTGGCCTGAGAAGGTTGGAGTGTCTAATATATGCATTTGGAGATTGGGAGTTGGTGTGTCTGTGCATTTATTTGGATCATGGAAGGTTGTAGATGTGTATTTCTAACTGTAGATGATTGAGGATGCATATTTGGGGAGTTTTGAGAGGACGTGTATGTGTGTGTGTGTGCAGTGTGGTATTTCTCTGTTTTTGAGGGTGGGGTATGCATCCATCAAAATATCTCAGATTATCTGATGTAAGAAAATAATTCTGCATCTCAGTGACTTCCAACAAGGTAGGTTTCTCATGTATGTTATGTGTCCTCCATTGGTTGGCTTTGATCAGTTACTGGTCCTGTGTCTTGGATCCAGATGGATGGAGCAGCCTCATTTGGGACAGGACTAGAAGGACTTCTTCTGCTCAGAGTCATATATGGCATTTCTGCTCACATTTCATTTGCCATAACAAGTCATGTGGCCATACTCGAGTTAAACAGACTAGGGATGTATAATCTCTCAGACAGAGATACCACAGAGAAGGACCATGAATACTCTTCATAGTGATACATCTGCCCCATTGTGTATACATTCAGAACATGTTCCATTGCTGTGTTTATATTTCACTAAGGAGTATGGGGAGTTGATGAGGGAGTGTGTTTAGGTGTGTGAAGGCTGGTGTGTGACGAGGCATTGGCAGGTGTGGGATATTTTTATACTAACACATTTTGGGGATTTGTATCTGTTTTGGGTATTTGTATTCTGTGTCATGTATATGTGTTATATATTTAAGATATATATTTATGTAGGTAGGTTAAGTATTCAGTGGTGTCAGAAATGTGTTTTTAGGGGAATATGGGTGAGTTTTTAGTATATTACAGAAGCATAGTGGGTTTTGGGTTTATTCTGAGGGTACTGGATAGTTATGTGTTCCTATTTGAATGGTGTGTGTGTATTTGCATGCTGGGGGTGGTTTTGTGTATTTTGACGGTACTGTGAGATATTGTGAATATGTGTGCATACATTTGAAAAGGCAGGTAATGTTCTATGTTTTAATGCTTTGTGTTTTGGATTTGTGTGTATTCAGAGTAGAGGACTTTATGCTTACGGTGTCTAGATGAGAATTTAGATGTACATTTTTGGTGTGAAGAATTTGGAGGCAGAGAGATGGCTGGGTGTATTTGGGTGTTACCACTACATGTATGTAACCTGAGGATATGGACAGAATATTTATAGTTTTCAAGATGGAGGCTTGTGTATGTTTGTATTTGGGAGTATACGGCCATGTGTGTATTTGGATCTGTGAGTATATCGTGGGTGTGTTATTCAAGCATCTGCATGTTTGAGTTTGTGTAATCTGAAGAGTGTGAATTTATTCAGGAAATGTGGTGGCTGTGCGTCCACTCTAGAGCTGTGAGTGTGTGGTCTGTGCTTCTACCAGGAGAGTATAGGATAATTTCCTCTTTTTTTCTATTTTTATAACATTTTATGTAACTCATAAAACAGTGTTTGTATAAAAATTCACACAAAGTTGCTAGAGAGCATACGATTTCCAAAAATGTCCTGGGTTTTTCATTACATTAAGTTTTTCTAAGGATGCACTCAAATCAATGGTAAAATGCAGACATTATGTGACACTTCATTATCTTTAGCAAAACTATTCTCACTACTTTGTCTCCTCACAGTATTAACTCTGATACCCACTTTGTGCAGGGTTTGCTAGTACTAGGATGTCACAAAACCATTAAGGCTGGATCTACAAGAGGCAAATATTTCCAAACAGCAGTAATAGCCCCTTGGCCCCCACCCCCAC